>NC_000001.11:58644744-58796259 GCF_000001405.40 Homo sapiens
TTCATTCACTGGTGGCAAGGGCTGCTTGCTTGGCTTCCTGATCCCTGGGTGGTCAGAGCCACAGCTTCCCAGTGTTCAGAGGCAGCAGAAATAGTAGTGGTCACTGCAGCAGTGGTAAATTCTTAATTCTAGCAGGCCCTAATTGTGGCCTCAGAGGTTCTAGTTCCCTCAGTTGGACAGTAAGAATCATCTGGTGGTCATTTCTGGCAGCCTTGAGTAGAACCCAGAGCTGCACCCCTT
Organism: Homo sapiens; assembly: GCF_000001405.40. Taxonomy (NCBI): domain Eukaryota; kingdom Metazoa; phylum Chordata; class Mammalia; order Primates; family Hominidae; genus Homo; species Homo sapiens. Next base: position 58,644,985 of record NC_000001.11, read on the forward strand.
TCCAACAGTTTTATAAGCATCCAATTTCCTGTGTTAAATCCCCTCTTGTATAAAATATTTACATGGTTTCTATTTCCCACACTGAAACTTTGCTGATATGATATCCAAATAAGAAGAGTGGCCGGGCGCGGTGGCTCACGCCTGTAATCCCAGAACTTTGGGAGGCCAAGGCAGGCAGATCACTTGAGGTCAGGAATTCAAGACCAGCCTGGCCAACATGGCAAAACCCTGAATCTACTAAAAATACAAAAATTAGCCAGGGATGGTGGCACGGGCCTGTAATTCCAGCTACTTGGGAGGCTGAGGCATGAGAATTGCTTGAATCCAGGAGGTAGAGGTTGCAGTGAACCGAGATCACGCCACTGCACTCCAGCCTGGGTGACAGAGTAAGACTCTATCTCTGAAAAATAATAAATAAATAAATAAATATATAAATAAGAATATAAACAACACCACTAGTAATAATAATAATAAATGCAACACTAATAGTAGCTAACATTTATTGAGTACTTGCTCCATTCCAGGCACTGTTCTATATATTTCCATGTATGAACTCATTTAATCCTTGCAACAACCTTGCAAGTTAGGTACTATTAGTGACCCCGTATACATATGAAGAAACTGAGAAACTGAAAGATTTCCCAAGGTCACACATCTAGCAGTCGCAGAGGTGGATTAAACCTGGGCAATCCTGACGTAAATACCATAAGAATAACAATGGCCAAGAAGGTGTCTTTCTTACATGTCTTCTCTGTTTCTCCCACTAGACTCAGGACTCCCTAGTCCCTCATCACTTTAACATTATAAAAGTGCTTTATTAATTATTCATACAGAACCAATATAGGTGGGACACAGTGGCTCACACCTGTAATCCCAGCACTCTGAAAGGCCGAGACAGGAAGATCGCTTCAGCCCAGGAGTTCGAGACCAGCCTGGGCAACATGGCAAAACCCCATCTCTACAGAAAGTGCAAAAATTAGTCAGGCATAGTGGCATATGCCTGTAGTCCCAGCTACTTGGGGAGCTAAGGCAGGAGGATCCCTTGAGTCCAGGAGGTTGAGGCTGCAGTGAGCCGTGATTGTGCCACTGTACTCCAGCCTGAGTGACAGAGGGAGACCCTGTCTCAAAAAACAAAACAAAACAAAACAAATATGATTAGAGAAAATGCAATCTTATTTATTATGGCTGATATTCAATCTCTTCTCAGAATCTACATTGCAAAACCAGCTCAGCAAGCTCTAGACTATGCCTTCCCTAAATCAGATCTAAATCGGTGACAGAAAACTATATCTATTGACATAAGGAAGAAATCATCAGGCTTTTATGTGCTCCAGAGAGCTCCAGAAAGACAGGTCAGATCTGGGCTTAACCTTCAGGTTGAAATTCATTTAGGAGTAATTCTGGAGCAGTCGTCTCCAGTAAGAAATGTTTCCTTCTCTTACCCCTGAGTCATCCCCCCAGGTCTTCCAGGGTGAAGTGAAGATGATGTTGGCTATTCTAACTGCCTTTGTTGATCATGAATGTGCCTGGATAAAGCAGGACTTTGGCTCTGGATGCGCAGGGCTCTGGAGAAACTTGACAAGGCCTGTTAGAGAGGATTGGCAACAGGTCACAGGGAAGAGCTTGGGTTCTGGCTTAGATTTCAGGTCCTGGTGGGAGGCCCCAGGGGCAGGAAACAACATGTGGACTTAGAGATGTGTTTGGTAGACAGGTGCTAGAATTGGGGTTTAGGTGGGGCCTTATCCACCAGATGGTTATTAGGATTGGGGTGGGAGTTCTAGAACAGTCCCCAACCTTTTTGGCACTAAGGACTGGTTTCGTGGAAGGTAATTTTTCCATGGACCGGGGATTAGGGGACGGTTTTGGGTTGAAACTGTTCTACCTTAGATCATCAGGCATTAGATTCTCATAAGGAGTGCACAACCTTGCATGCATACTTCACAATGCGCTCCTGAGAATCTGATGCCACCACTGATGTGATAGGAGGTGGAACTCAGGCAGTAATGCTCACCGCTGCTCACTTCCTGCTGTGTAGCCCAGCTCCTAACAGGCCACGGACTGGTACCAGTCCACAGCCTGGGGTTTGGGAGAACCCCTGTTTTAGAGGAATCTGCGGCTGGGATGACTAGATACTAAAGACTCCAGAGCCCAAGATGTTCTATGTCTCACTCCTTCCCTACTAAAGTCAAAATGGATCCCAGAATATCCAGAAGGGCTGAGTCTGAGTAGGAGGGTGAAAGGTGCCAAGTGGTTCCAGTTTTCAAGGCCAGCGGGCATTTGGTCATTGGGTCAGGCCCTCAGTTATACTGCATGCCCACTTGGACACTCTGGAAAGTTGGTCTTTCCCCACGTGCCCTGTGTTCATGGCTTGAAGACGAATCCCTTCCCCCAAGAGCAGAGCAACTTCCACTCTGGCTGATCACCCCCTGGCCTGTTTCTGGAATCTGACTCCACATCTCTGCTAATGGCACCTCATCTCCCATCTCTCTGAGTCTTGTCAATTCCTGCCTGGCTGTCGCTCCTGCTTGCAGGCAGGATCCAGGGTCTTTCCAGTCCACCTCCAAAATCTCTATCTGTCTCCCTCTCATTGCTTTTTCTTTTCTGATTATAAAAATAATGTGGCCAGGCACAGTGGCTGATGCCTATAATCTCAACACTTTGGGATGCTGAGGCAAGATGATCACTTTAGGAATTCAAGACCAGTCTGGGCCACATAGTGACATCCTGTCCTACAAAAAAATTAAAAATTAGCCAGGAATGGTGGTGCACGCCTTTAGTCGCTGCTACTTGGGAGGTTGAGGTGGGAGGACCGCTTGAGCCCAGGAGTTCAAGACTGTGGTGAACTATGGTGACACCACTGCACTGCAGCCTGGGCAACAGAGTGAGACCCTGTCTCTTAAAAAATAATAATAATATATGCTAATCAAAGGGAATGTAGAAACTATAGAAAAGCATGCTGGATTTGGGTTAATGGATTGGTCACACACAATGAAATCCCATGCCCTCCTGAAACATCACTCAAGCACAGCAAGGTAGTAGGGGGGCTTTGTTTTGAGAGACGTGACAATAATGAATCAATGCATGGGGTCTGACTTAGCAGGTCTGGAGAGTGGGAGAAGCAGACCCTCAAGAAGTGACCTGATTTACCTTGTGGAACCCCCAAAGCTCAAGAATTTGTAGCACCAGGGACATCTGGAATTGGGGATGCCAGTGGGGCTAGAATGATGATAGCTGGTAGAAGGTGGGTTGTGGGTTTAAGGCTAGGCACGGTGGCTCACGCCTGTAATCCCAGCACTTTGGGAGGCTGCCGGGGGAGGATCACTTGAGGTCAGGAGTTGGAGACCAGCCTGGCCAACATGTTGAAACCCCATCTCTACTAAAAATAGAAAAATTAGCCAGGCGTGGTGGTGAATGCCTGTAATCCCAGCTACTCAGGAGGCTGAGGCAGGAGAATCGCTTGAACCTGGGAGATGGAGGTTGCAGTGAGCCGAAATCACACCACTGCACTCCAGCCTGGGTGGCACAGTGAGACTGTCTCAAACACACACACACACACACACACACACACACACACACACACACACACACACACACAGAGAGAGAGAGAGAGAGAGAGAGAGAGAGAGAGAGAGAAAGTGGGTTTAAGATGTAGTTATCCCTTAGTGGCTTCCTGCTTCCTTAGCAGGCTACTGACCATCTCACCCCCAAGAGGGTAGTCGCTGCCTGGTCAGTCTCTGGAGAAAGTGAAGCAGAACCTTTCTGGAGTGGGGAAAAATTGGAGGATTAGGTGAAAGTTTACATGCTCAATTTTGAGGTGTCTATATCTTTTCTCCTACTTGGCTCCCCAGGGATCTGGAAGCCAAGCTTAAAACTTGGGTGAGAGATTGGGCAGACATTGGAAATAAACAGGGCCAACCATAAGGGCCACTGTACTTCCCAGTGCCTCCTCCCTTCAGCCAAATCGGCTCTGCTTGGTTCCTTCCTTCCTTCCCTCTCTCCCTCCGTCTCTCTCTCTTTCTAGATGTAACTCATAGATCATCAAGTTCACCACTTTTAAGTGTGGTTTTTAGTATCCGGAGTGGTTTTTAGTATATTCACAAGGTTGTACAACCGTCACCATCACCACTAATTCCAGAACATGTCATCACCCCAAAAAGACATCCTGTATCCATTAGCAGTCACTCCCCAATCCCTTCTTCCCACCTGAGACTCTGGCAACTTCTAATCTACTTTTTCTATCTATGATTTGCTTATTCTGGACATTTTCTAGAAATGGAATAATACAAAATGTGGTCATTTATGTCTGACTTCTTCACTAAGCATAATGTTTTCAAGGCTCATTAATGTTGTAATATATGTCAGTGCTTTATTTCTCTTTGTGGCTGAATAATAATTCCATTGTATGGGTAGACCATGTTTAATTTATCCATTTATCAGTTGATATCCAGTTGGGTTTTTTCTATTTTTTGGTTATTACTTGTTTTATATGCTTGGTTTTAATGCAAGATTTGTTTTCAACAGCGATTTCTAACTAAATAAAAGTCTGAATACTACTGGCTTAGAGAAACCTTTTCATTTTAGGATTTGAAGATGTTGGCTGTTGATTGCCTGAATCTCTTTCCATGAGGAACATGAAAGCACCCCTCTCTAAAATAGCATTGGACACCCTGGGGGACCTGACCCCATGTCCACATCCCCTTCTGTGGTCCCCGACTCCTAGCCACACACGATGCACACCAGCCTCACGGAAATCTACAATTCTTGGCACTGTGCCACCGCTTCCGGGGCACCTTCTGCCTAGAGTGCCTTTTCTCTCTTCTCTTCCTGTCCAGATCTATTTCACCAAGAAAGCTTTTGACCAGAAATCCAGGGCTCCTATTGTACAGCCCTGTCTCTCTACAAAACCAGAAGGAACTTCATGCCACATAGAGCCCTGCAGGTCCCACAGCCTGTCCCAGGTCCCTGGATCAGGAGGGAGGGCTCTTGAACGCGTAAACCCCAGGGACATGGCAAAATCCTTTCCTTCTCCTTTTGCAGCAACAAAAGGCCCCCAAGCCCTCCAAATGTCTGCTTTTTAGCATTGCTATTTTGGTTCTATTGTTGTTCTCCCTCCTAAGGAGGAGACGGTAACTAACTGCATTCTGGGTCTGCCCAGAGTATGATATATCTTCCTCCGCTGGGCCCTGGGCAGAGAAGCTGGGCTGCATTGATTTCCTGGGTGAAACGGAAGTGCAATTCACAGGCATCTTTCAAAGTGGAGAAAGGTCCTGGGTGTGGGCTGGAGCTGGACCTGTCTCTCCTGGCTCCCCTCAGGCAGGGCTGTGGATGATGCACCTAGTCCTGTTTGCCTGACAGAAAAATCACTTGCCCAGAAAATGCAGAACCCATCCCACTGCTGGACCTCAAATCCAGCATGACTAAGGCACCTTAGTCATCTTTAAATGGATTCTACCCTTTTGCCTGTTTTTTCTGTTTTTTGGTTTTTTTTTTCATTTTGTTTTCCATGTATGAACCCCACAGAAGAGAACACAAGGTGATGGATGAAAATGTTTGAGCAGTTGCTACCCAACTCGTAGTGATAAAAATACTCAGGATATAAAGTGGTAACACCGCTGACGCCTCATAATTACCCAAGTTATGTTGCACTTTTGATTAGAAAATGCAATTATGTTTATAGTGTTATAATCTCACCTGCCTTTGTGTTTTTGAGAAAATTGCAAGAGAATACCTCTCCTGGAGTAGGCTGCCCTTGCTAATCAGTTGATTCATGTCTCTTGAAGTGCTCATTGCACTTAAGATAATGAAGAGATGTGGCTTCTCCGGGGCTCTCAGCTCCCACCTAGACTCTGGGGCTTGTTTTTCAGAACAAACAGCTTTGTCTCAGTTGTTTTCTACTCCTCACAGGAAATCCAGCAACTGATTGTCATAGAACTGATTTTTCCCCAAGAATCTGCCTTCCATTCTTTCTTTTTGCTTTCTTTCACTTATTCAATTATTTATCCATTCATCAAGCTGCCATCAATTAAGTGCCTTCCTAATCTATGCTAGGTATTATACTAGGCATTGGGGATATGAAGTGTGAGAAGGCAGGGTCCAAGCCCTTCAGAAGCTCCGTCTCATAGAAGTAGTAGGAAAGAAAAGAGACAAGCAGAAGGCAGTGTGACTGGGGCCGAGATAAGAACAGGGTGTGAGAGGGGCCCAATCAACCCCATCTGGAGTGAATGAAGACTCAAGGCAGGCAGGCTTCCAGGTGGAAGTGATGTTTGAGCTGAATTTGAAGAAGGTTGGGACCAGGAAGGGTGTTGTTCAAGCATGGGGAAAGGGGTGAGCCTGCAGGGGTGAAGCTGCCCATTTTGGATTTGTCTAATCCAAGATGGGCAGTTGAAATGGGTTGAGTGGCTAGGGCAAAAAGCAGAGGCAGGAGTGTGTGTGTGTGTGTGTGTGTGTGTGTATTTGTATTTGAAGGCAGGAGTGGCAGGAGGTTAGGCTAGAGAGGGGTGCATCGTAAGTAAGGGTCTTCTGCGCTTCCGCGTCAGGAGTGGTGCAGAAAACTCGCCAAGCCATTAAAAAGCTTTTAGCAGCGGGGCACGGTGGCTCACACCTGTAATCCCAGCACTTTGGGAGTCCAAGGCGGGTGGATCACGAGGTCAGGGGTTCAAGACCAGCCTGGCCAACATGGTAAAACCCCATCTCTACTCAAAATACAAAAATTAACTGGGCATGGTGGCACACGGCTGTAATCCCCGCTACTCAGGAGGCTGAAGCAGGAGAATGGCTTGAACCTGGGAGGCGGAGGTTGTGGTGAGCCAAGATCACACTAATGCACTCCAGCCTGGGTAATAGAGCAAGACTCCATCTCAAAAAAAAAAAAAAAAAAAAAAAAGCTTTAAGCACAGAAATGATGTGCTCAGATTTATGCTTCGTGAAGAAAAAAAAAAATCCCTCGGCTTCAGTGTAGAGGATGGAGGGGGACCTGTTGGAAGCAGGAAGATTAATTACCTGTGACAATGCAAGAGGCTCTTATGAAATAGAGAATAGAGAACCATGTCAGAGCAAAATTTCTATCCATAAGGTCCATTCCTTCTGTTGTCTGGGTAACAAAGACAATCCCTTGGTATATCATCTACCATGTTTGGGTAAAGCATGACACAGGACCTACGAGCACAGGATTTCTTTTGTTGCTCAGAGAAGGCAAGAATTGCCATGAGGCGTGACCCAAGATCACAGGATAAGGAATGCACACACTTTGACTTCCCAATCTGGCTTTGACTGGGTCTGTGACTTGGACTTGGGTATCAGTTCTCCCATCTCAAAGTGAGGAGACTAAACTAAATTGTTCCTTAAGTTTCTTCCAGCTCTGAAATCAATAACGTAATAGCTTAATGAGCTGGCTTTAGAATTATATATGAATCTGAATTCTCTCTGCCACTTCTGGCTGCATGACGTTGGGCAAGTGACTTAAACACTCTATGGCTAAGTTTAAAATGGGGGTAGTAAGATTCTTCTTGCAAGGTTGTTGTGGAAACTAAATGTGACACTGTTATGTAAAGCATTTTTAGCACTGTATCTATGTATAATAGATGGCTGTTACTATTATAAACAAAAGTGAAGATAGTTAACCTGGATACTATGAAACAAGGAAACTCATCCCTAGATCATACTATGTCAAGAAACTAGAAAAGTGAATGTGTTAGTGCTTACAAATTCAGCTACACGTGCAGTCTTTTCTGCCTCTTAGGCTAGCCAACAGTACTGGGCTGAGATGGTAGTGCTGACACACTGTGACAGAGCACCCTCTAGTGGCCGTAAGCATTAACATTTTCATTACAATTATTGAAGAACATGGCTTTGTGGACATGCATGCAAACATCGAGGATTTGGGTTTGTTACTCTTAGATAATGCCAATAAAGCGAATAAAGTCTCACTAATTATAGCACTTCTAATAGTAATTCCTTAGTCAACTGTTCCACAAAAATCATGTTCTGGGCATTGATAAGATCTTGCAGTTCTAAAAGAGACAATTACATTTTAAATTAAAACGTATTAACATTTGAATCTCACATAAAATACTAAGTAGTTCTTTATGAGATTGAAAAATAATGTGACATCACTCAAAAGGATGGTGCAGTAGCACTTGGGTTAGGTGGCAGAGCTGGGGTCTTTCTAGGGGCGATCTTGCTACAAACTTGGCTGTGACTTTGGGCAACTTGCTTCATTTTGGGGAACCTGTTTCCTATTAAAATATAGAACTGTAAGCCTGAACAATCCTTTTTCCAGCTTTAAAATTCTCTGAATTAAGGGAGATAGGTTATCCATTTTAATATAGAGCTCTGGTTTCAAAGAAATTTGATGTCAACTTTTCTTCATGAACATGGGGTCTCAAGTACAGTAGTTTAAAGGCCATGCAAAGACAAATTTATACTATTTTAGAAAATCAATCCAAGCCATCTGTAGCAGAGATAGCTAGTCATTAACAACGATTCATATTTCCTTTCCATAATGTAGAATTTTGCAGAAGTACCAGTCCAATCAGGACTCCATTTAGCGGCTCCCTTTGCATTCAGGTGGGAACGTATGTTTAGTTCTTCCCAAAGGAATAGCAAAAACCATATGTATTTCCAAGTAGTTAAGTACCAGGTGCGTAACCCTCCACTCTTCCTCGTTCCCCTTGTCCTCCAAGGGATAACACTAATGTGAAAGGAATCTATTGAAGATGAGCTGCCCAGGAGGGCCACCCAATCAGAAATACCTGCATTGGATTTACTATTTCTTGTACTTTGCCACCTAAATGATTATCATTTAGGTGCCTGAGTTCAAACTGGTTCTGTAACAAGACAGAATATGCCTGTACTACTCTAAGGAAAATTAGCTTATAGGAATAAAAATTTTTCTGCAGATACTAACAAAATTTAAAGGCTGCATAGTTGATCTAGCAACTAAGGTTCTATGACTCTTCTGAGAAGTATTAACTGTGTAAAAGAAAAAATATATTTTTAATAGAAAAATGGAAACAACCTGAAGTTCAACTGAAAACAGATCAAATCAATTAAGACAAATATATACTGCAGAATACTATGTACTTACTGTAAAGGATGAATAGACTTTAGGCACCAACATGGAAAGATGTCCTCAATGAGAATTATAGAAGTTAAAGATATACAGTATGATTCTGTTGGGTTTTTAAAAAAAATTTGTAGGTTTTGCATAAAGACTGGAAAGTTGATGATCAATAAATGAGGGAATACTGCTTTTAAGGTAGATTTTCACTTCCTTTACACCTTCTACAGCCTTTAGTTGACAGAATGTGTATTGCTTTCATAATGAACATCTTCATATACTCTACCCTTTAACCAAAACTCTCGCCATTCTCACTCCTTACCTCCACACCTATGCTAAACACCTCTCTGGAGCATCCTCCCACAAATGCTATTTAACCAAATCTGATTAGGCGGCTTCTCTTCCCCAGAAATTGATCTCACTGCTCATATTCCAGAGAATTTTCTCTCATTTGTTTAACCATCCATTACCCTGGAAGTCTTTTTGCATCTCAGTGTCTTAGCTATTCATGTTGGGCTTTATCTGTTTTCCCACTTACAAGGCTTCTTGTGGGAAGAAATTAAGATTTCCTCATCTTTGCTTCCCCTACAGTGTTCTATATAACAGATGCTCAACAAATCTTTGATAAATTAAAATGTGGCATTTTTTTGCAATTCAATGTGTATATTGCTAATAATTTAGAAATAATCCAAATGATCACTTTATTTTCAAAATTTTATTTTTATGGAATTTTCAGCATGTTTAAACTTAATTTTTAGAACAAAATCCAAAAGCTTAAAATCAGATATCTTATAATGTGTCACAATTAAGTATGGAGAGTTCTGTCATTTTTGAGGAAAATCTTTCATAATTCTTAAAATGCAGGTATTTACAACATTTTTAAATACAGACATATACAACATGGCATATTTAAATGTACAAAATAGTTGAAATTACATTTTATCACAGAACATTCCAAAATTCAAACTAATTTTTAAAAGTCCACAAACACTGATAGCATTTGGAAAAAAATAGCAACAAGTTTATCAATAACCATGCCATATGTTTAGTAACTAACTTACTTATACACAACACATAATTTACATGTCAAATCCACAAATCTAAAAGATATATGACTAATCTATTTAACTCACGCTAGAATCTAAATACTATTTTATAATTCATAGGTTTAAATACATGTTTCACAGTAATCTATGAAACAGGAATATAAACTATGAAAACATATTTAACTGACTTCTTAAGAGACGAGGAAATGTCAAAAATAGCAAATCAGGCATTTTTTTCCCCTGAAATTAAAGTTCTTATGAATACCTTCATAAACACCAAAGGAAGAAAATAAAAACAACTCAGATACTACAACTTAATTTTTACCTTCTCAAACTTCTGTTTAGAGCTCTTGGCATAATCACAGCTCCCCTGGGATATTTTTATTTTTTCCTGATTTAGTGGAGGCAACTATTTATTCCCTCCCTTGTTCCAGGAAAAATGTAAGGTGGCTTAGAAGATAGACTCAGAATATACTAGAAAGTATAATTATAGGTTAAATAAAAAAGAAAATAGAGAAAGCAGAATTTGGGGGAATAGCACATGAAGCCATTTAAGAAAAGGTCAGGAAATATATCCTAAAGTATATTACATTATTCTCCCACAGTGATTTTCTGGAAATATTGCAAAATACATTAATTTGTAAGAAAACTAATATTAAAGTACTGGTAAACTAGAGATGCTGATCAAATTTGTTAAATTATTTATTTACCCTGATGAAGCAGATGATTATAAAAATGTGTGTGCTTTTCTTTGTGCTTGGATAAAAGAAGTTTTCCTAAATACCATATATTGGTAGAGTATAGGTGAAAAAAAAAATAAAATTTGGGCACCCTTACTGAATTTCTACTGAGAATTCCATCAACTGCTGTCTGCTGACTTGCGACTGGATGGCTTCAACTCAGGTGCTCATGTGTTACATGGCTGTTTTGTGAGCACAAAACAGAGCAACATCAATTCCAGGGCATCCTGACTATTGGTTCCTCCAGCTCACCTCATCAGGACCCAGGAAGAGAAATGGGAGGAAGGTAATGCAGAGGAGACCTGCTCAGGTTGGCATGTTGAAGCCACAGTCTCCTCTGTTGGGTTGAGAGCTGCAGAGGTTCTGACTGTGCTTACAGTCTGCATGTCACAGACCTCAACCCCACTCCTAGGGGCAGGGAAGGAATGGTATGGACAGAAGACTGGGAGCAGCATTAAATAGCTTCATGGAAACATGCATGGTCTGTCCATCTCTATTTTACAGGCCTAGCTTTCAACAAATAATAGAAAGAAGGGTCTTGTATTTATATGCTGAGAAGTAAGAATGCAGGGAGTGATGATGAAGGAAAGGGTTTGTGGGAAATGGAGAGGAAAGAAAGGTAGTAGGATGTTTCCCTTTCAAGTGTGGCACGAGTTTCAAAACTACAGATTAGGGACTGACCAAAACAAAAATATCTGAAGACTAAAACAAACCACTGCCTCCTATCTTTTTTGAGGATGAATGGTCCCAAGTAATCCTTGTGAGTTTTCGTTAGGTTGGGAAGGAAGTAAGTTCAAGTCTATAGATCTATAACCGTGGAAACTGCAGTGCTCCTGGATGGAGTGGCAAAGGCTTCTCCAAGGACTGTGGTGGTGGGAGAAGGGGACAGAATAATGACTGCTATTTTTCCAATGATGCCCTTCAGAATACAGGCAATGCCAACTTATCCATTAGGCACAGTACCTAAGGCCCACAGTTTTTTAGAAGCCCACAAAAATGTTTTAATTTTTTTTAGCCTCATAAGAAAAAACTGAACTTCTAAACAAAATGTTTTAATCTAAAATATTAATACATTCATTTCATACAGATACAATTGTAAAATATCACTTTTAATTTTGTATGGAAGAAGGGGTCTAAGATGGCAAAACTATCTAGGGCCCACAAGAATCATAATGCAGCTCTGAATACAGGGTCAAACAAACTGTAACTGAAGCAATGTAACTTGAACTGGAAACTGAAGATAATTTAAAAGGATTAGAGAAGAATGGTCAAGGCTAAAATAATGGAGATGGAGAGTCTGAGCTTACTGATCCTGTTCCACTGGTTTTTCTTTTCTTGAATGTTACTTTGGAATTAGATTAAGTCTAATACTGGGGAAGCGCTAGTGTCGATTTCCATTAGCCAAGCCAGAAAAAAAAAAAAATTAGGTCATTATTTTATAGTCATTGTGCAATAACAAAGACAGAATCAGGATGAAGACACCTGCATGTCTTTAAGTCCTTTAGTCCTTTCTCCACTTCTGTAAACATTATTAAAGGCAGGTGTTCCTTTGAGACTCTGCCTCCTGAACTTCCTGTATCATAGGCCCCCTCAGTTCTAGACTTCCTCTGTGCTTCTACAAGGCCCTGGCTCCATTATCCTCGGTAGTAGCCCAAGGCTGGTAGTGCCAGCAATGTGGGTACCTGTGGTTGCAAAATTGTTTTAAGAATATGACAAAAGAAAAAGGAAGCAGGGAAAATGATGGAGGAAGAGAGAAAGAAGTAACCAAGTTTAACATACTAAAATTATACTGTCAAAAAAATGGGGAAGGATTTATATACTAATTGTGTTTTTTTAAATAGTAGCACTGAGATATTTGTACTTCACACTTCTCTGTATTTTAAAATATACTTTACAAGACAAATGTACTCTATAGTCAGAAAATACTAAGTATTATTTTGAAAACTGTGCTCTCAAGGCCCCAAACTCTTGACAAGTATCATCCTTGAGATCCTCGCAATATGGCTTAGATTAGCAAATATGGTTAAACATTGGCACACAGGGCAAGGAGACTCAGATTTGAGAGCAGAACTTTTAACAATTTCCATTACTTTCCATCACCCAAATTCATCAGTATTATAGGGAAATGTCAATCAAGAAAGCTAGTATAAAACACTTTTTAGTATTTGTTCCCCAATATATCATGAGGAAACAGGTCAAAAGGAAGATGAGTACAAAGGAATCAATCACTGCCTTTCACAGAATCACGCAACTTCGGAGCTTGGAAGGGAATACTAAGCCATAAAATTCAGGCCCTTGATTTACTGGTGAGGAGCATGGGGTCCAGGTTATGTGTTTTGATTAAGGTCACACAGCAAAGTTGGTAACAGAGTTAGGGTAAGAGCTCAGGTTTCCTGACTTTTGGTATAGTTCCTCTTACACTCTCAGCCCTCAAACTAATTGTTTTATAAGCTATACTTCACTGTTTATCCTAAGTGCACACAGAGAAATGGAAAAATACTACCCTTTTTTTTTTAAATGTATGTTAATTTGGAAACTGTATTAACTCAAAATATAAACTTCACAAGAGTAGTCCAACGATTAGAATGAACAATAAAATTTTAGTTCTGGAAGGACATTAAGAAGTTAAGTTAGACTTCAGTTACACAAGAATTAAGGCTCAGGGAAAGTAAACTGTATCTCCCCAAATCACAAAGTTGAGACAAGAACCAGGTCACCTAAAGCTGACTCACTGCTTCTTCCAATACTCCTTATTCTTCATTGGCTATTGATTACAAACAAAGCAAAATATAGAATCAATCTGATTTAGATATAAGGAAACGTTAGTAAGAATGTTTGGTGAATAGCTATAAATCAATTCTCTGACTACTAAGAAATAAACTAAAATCTACTGAATTTCAATAAATGAGGCAGCATTGACTGCTTATTTTATTTTAAAATTGGCTTAAATGCAGATCATAATTCTGAGTTTTGGTGTCATTTGAAGATGACGTAAAGCTTAACAAATGTAAAACAAAATTCTAATGTTTAAAATTCTCTAGATCAAGGGTTGGAGAATAATAGCCAACAGCCTATGTTTTATGAGGCCTGTGAGTTAACAATGGTTTTTATCATTTTAAAGGGCTGTAAAACACACACACACACACACACACACACACACACACACAAAGAAGAATGTCTCATAGACATCATATGTGGCCTGAAAAGCCAAAATTATTTACAAACTGGCCCTTTACATTAAAAAAGTTCACTGACCTCCATTATAGATTCAGAAAGCATATGAAACTGGGCTGAATATGTAACATGTCCTGAAAGGCTTGTTTTAAAAATTAAATCTCTGATTTATTCCAGCTTTATTATCATTTGCCTCTTTCTCCTAGTAGTAGGCAGTAGAAAAAAAGTTTGAGTTATGATTACCTATGTTCCAGTTAAATGAGGTTTTATCACACCTACTAATGTAAGTGGACTCACAATTGAAGCTAATTATTTTATGTGTGTAAAATTGGTTAAAAATTTTCAGATAGCTGAGAAAATGGCATATCTTATGATACTACTGCTATACAATGAAATGGAAGATAGTATCTATGATTAGAAACTGGTAATTTAGTTCTCTCCTTTGGGTTTTTCCTGTTTTTAAGATTTTCTTGTCATGCCTCTCCTGGTCTCCTGTTAGATTTATTAATCAGTAGTTCTAAACCATATTAATTATCTCAGTGACCACCCATCCATATCTCATTTATAGCCATAAACAAATCTCAGCAGAATATATGGAAAGAATGGAAGTGCTTTTAAATGAAATAGGAGATACCACAATGGAACATAAATGACTAGTTCAGGGAAGAAATGACTTAGAGACATAGTCCAAATCCCAAGCTGAACACAACAGTAAAGCCGACCAGGTTGCTTAGTTTCACAGCCTACAGCATTGCTCAGTAAAGGACTAGAACACCGTGGTGGACCCTGGTTTGCAGAACACTCTGATAATCACTATATGAAAACAAATTTGTATCTCTTCCTTTTCACATGATTTATGTGGCAAAGTTTGGATTTTGTGAAATAGAGAAAAAATACCAAAGCTGTGCCAATGTTAACTACAATCACTTCAAGTTTATAACTTTGAAAGTAAGATCTACTGTGTCAAGATTAAAATGTCTTAACTTTAAAATAATCACATTAACAATTCCTTTGTACAGTTCTCTTCGGTTACTCCATTCTCTTGGTTGCTTTTATAATTGGAAAGGAACAAATTTTCTATTTCAGTCAAGAATTCTTCAGCCATAAAGCAATTGGTCACTTTGCTCAGAGTCTTCCTCATACACTCCAAAAGCTAGTTGAAAAGAAAAGTTTTATATTTAAATACAGAAAAAGTATGAGGGTTTGCATTACTATCACTATTTCGTCCCTTTCCAGACCTCACATTTCCTAATGCTCAAATGAGAAACACTCTCCTTAAAAATGGTTGAAGATTAACTTGTGTTTAATAGTCACAGAGCTGGAATGTAGGAAATTGCTGCTGAGGAACACTCAGCTTAGTACTTTTATGATTTTACATAAGGAGACAAACCTGAGATTGTTTATGTGATGCTTTCTACTTCGGACGTATTTGCGACTTTTCTCCATTTGTAGTTACACTTACAAAGCAAAATAATCCTGAGTATACACACACACAAAAATCTAGGTACATAAAAACATAGGATTCTGCATTTCAAAATGAGGATGCTAGCTGGAGTCTATTTCCTTGGAAATGTGCACATACTTTTTCAACAACACACAAAAAACTGGATATAACAGAAAGGAGTAAAACATATTAAAAAGAAACTTAATGTTTAAATTTTCTATCCCCAATTGCTATTTAAAAAGACAAATGTTGCAGATCTACTAGCCTTCAATCATTACAGAAGCAAAACCTAGACGTGAACTGACAGAATTCAAAACTCTTATTTCCTATTAGAAAGTTAAATAAAATGACTATTTAAATTTAATTGTTAGATTTATACCATCATTCTTAAAAATGACCAATTGTTAAGGCTAAAATGGAAACATGGCACTTTCAAATTTAATAAAATAAGAAAAATGTTCTCCATTGTGTATAATAATAATCTGCTAAAATCAGCCAACACTGACAAATTTATTCTAAAATAGAATTTTTTCTATGTGCAAGCTTGGGCAACAAAAAACGTTACTAATTATCTCCTAGAAATTAATTTTCCAAAGGAAAAAGTAATAAAAGAAATATACAGAAAATTATCCACAAAGTATTAGGCATCATGGGAAAACACATTGAGATGAATAGCTTCAGAATCTGTGAACAATGGAACCAATTAAAATGAAGACAGCTTACTTTCTGCAAACAAGTCAGGTCAGAATCCCGGCGAAAGATTTTATCCATGGGGACGCTGCTGTAGGAAGAAATATGAAAACAAACTGGTGAAACGAATACTATAAACTAATCAGTTTCATAATAAACTATCACGGATGCCATACATCACAATTTTATATTTAACTTGGGTTTTCTCTGAAACATAATTTAATGAGCAACACTGCAGATGTGCAACCATCTCAAACCACAGTACATACCTATGGGAGAGCCTGTATTTTTCTATTATCCATCTTGTCTTTTCAAATACTAATCCCCACTGAGGTTCTTCTAACATCTGCTGTACTTCAAATTTGTAAGGTAAGCCTAGAAAAGCATAAAGAAGCACATTGTCATCAACTATTTCTTAACTCTCCAATCTCCTTTTAATTATACTTAAAATTCCCTTCGGTGTTTTTACAGCCATAGCTTTGCAGATCAGCTGAACAGCACTTTAAACATAGTGGGCATTCATTAAATATTTATTGCCCGATTGTACTTGGTCCACTAAGCATATTAATGCCAAGCTATTAATAATAATAATGAGTAAAAGTGCCATTTACATGACAATTCTACGCATGGCACTATGATGGGATGATCACGTAATTTATCACCTAAACCAAGAGACTTTTTGAATGAAAGAAGGTACTATTAATAATTATGCCTGAACCGCAGGTTTAAAGTGGGATTATCCTAGACAAACTAAGACATATTGCCATCCTAGTGATAATTAAAAATATATATATATACAGGTTATTAAGCTTACAACAATGCTGTAAGTTATTGTTTTTTTTTTAACAGGTGAGAAAACTGAAGCTGAGATACATTAAAAATCATATTTAGGCTAGCAAAGTGGCAGGACACAGATGTTAAAACCCAGCAGGTTTGCCTCACTTCTGAGCCCAAACTCATTCCACCTCCCTAGAAGAGCTAATCTAAGACTAGACAAGAGGATAGGATGAACTCTGGGGAGGCAGCAACTGCTTTGAGTCAAAGTTGTTATACTAAACTCTGGAGGAAAGAAAGAAGCCCAAGGGGTGAACATCATATATTCATCTAGAAAGGAAAAAATACCAAACGATGAGTTATCTTAGCAATTTTTCACATATCCTTCAAGACCCCCATGCAAATGCATCTATAGCATTTTTTTAAAAGCTCAGCTGATTCACTAGCAAAGGCTGATACCATCATAGTAACACTTATAATGCATACTATGTGCCACCTAAAACTTAATGTGAAATCACTTAAATGAAGTAGCTGCCATTATTCACCCCCCCCTTTTTTTTTTTTCGATGAGGACACTACGTCATAGAAAGGTTAACCTGCTCATGATCAGATATAAAAGGCATTGGCAGGATTTGAACCCAGGCAGTCAGGCTCGAGAGTTCTGCTTTTAACTTATACATAATACTGCCTCAACTGGGTTTCTACCATGGTAAGGAATAAATAAAATGCCAGCAAATCAGAAGGCATGGAAAAAAAAAAGGGGAAAAATACAATTATTTCCTCACAATGAAATAAAGCATAGCTTAAATGTCAATATGCTCTAAAAAGGCATTTTTTCAGGTGTTTGGAAGGAAAGGGGACAGCAAGCCTGATGATGATGACTGATCTTTTTTATTTAATTGCTCAATTTTCCTCTTCTCCAAAAACTTAAGAAGAGTGACACACTATAGTACACGGGGTATTAAGCAAACTCCTTATGGTGATAACAGTCATTTACTTGACATGCTTTGATTACTTACTAAACATGGATACCATCTATATAATGATAACCACCCACTGAAAACCTATTATTTGCTAAACACTTTACATATATTACTGACACACCTTACAACCATATACCTACTGTAAGCAAGGTAGTAATTTTTTCTCATTTTACAGATGTAGCAAAGGAGAATGAGGGAGTAGACTGCCCAAGGTAAAATAAGCAATAAATGTCAGAGCTGGGATCTGAATCCAGTAGAGTGACTCCTACTCTCAATGAAAGTTGAAGATGAAAATAAAGAGAGGTAAATAATGCATTTTCAATCTATGCTGATGCAAAAACATGAAAACATACACACAAATTATATACAGGTCTATTTGGTATTTTTAAGAATATTTTTTAAGTTAAAAAAGGTACTTTTAAAGTCAATAAGTTTCTTTTATAGAGAATATTTTTATCCACTAAAATATCAGAAGAAAACTGATCACTAAATATATTTCCTGCCTGTCACAAGTAAAGAAAACATTAAACCATTAGAGATATTGTAAAGATATGACCTGAGTTAAAAGTACTGTAGCACAAGGTATCCCATGGCTTCTAGAAAACCTTAATTCTTGCACCAGAGGATTTCTAAGGGCAAAGCAAAAGACCTAGGATTAAGATCTAATACGCAGTGTTAAGCATGGACAAGTCATTTACAAGACAGCTCTGTCCAATGGTAGCTCATGGGAGCATCATGGATAGTTCCCTCTAATGCTTTCAAGTAGTTCTTTCCCATCTGGGCTAGTTTATTCACATACATGTGCTGATCTGTACTTTGCTAAATACTCCAGGGATACTCTTCTACAAATCTCCAGAGTTCACTCTCCATTCTGCTTTCTGTTCTCTTGGGGCTCTGTCTCACAAACTCAGCTGTCTTGGTCTCCTTATCTCCATCACCTTAATTGAGTCGGCCTGGCTCTGGGTGGGTTTCTCCTTCTTGTGCCATATCTGAAAACCCTCTTAAGCAGTAAGCTAGGGTAATGTGGGGCTCTTTTCATTTGTTTCCCATCTCTTAGCAATCGTATTCCTTTGCTGCTAAATGTTGTGTTTAAATACCATTATTTTACATATTTTGTCCAGTTTTTTGGTAGTTTCAGACAAGTTCTTTTTACTTCATTTTGGCCAGAGTAGAATTCCATGAACTAAATTTTAAATTTCATGTAATTCTAATCAACTTACATTTAAAGTCACACGTACTGCTATTGTACTGGATAGCATCAGAATTGAGGTTCATTACCAAAACCTAGCAGTCTGTGAGATTATAAAATCAAGTCAGATGATGATTTAAAGATGGTTTAAAAATGATTTAAAGAGAACAAGTTAATTGCGATTCTTTTTATAAAACTGTACTGAGCTAAAGAATAATATGTATTATGTGCTATGCTCAAAATGGACATTCCAGACTAAAAGCTAATACCAATATTATTAATTCAGTAAAAACCCATAGTGTTGACCACCTCCTAGATGCAAAGCAATTTATTAGGTGCTACTTGAGAAAAAAGACAAATAAGACACAGTCCCTGCTCTTTGGGCATACAATTTATTAGGACTTGCTAAATAGATAAATTGCATTAAAAGACAAAGTGACCATGAAGGCAGGAATAAAGTGTTGCAGATACATAAAGAATAAAGCAACTAATAGTAAATAACATGGGGGCAGTGCTGGTAAATCTACATCAAATATAGGGCATCCAAGAGAGATCATTAAGAATGAAGAGAAATTAATTATTAAACAAATATTCATTTAGTATCTACTTTATGCCAGGCCTCATGCTAGAAACAGGATAGAAAAAATGGGTACAATACAGTATTTATTCTCAAAGAGCTCATAATCTAATGGGGAAGAGTACAATGTGGGGTAACTGTAGTGGCAGTGTCCAGGGGACCTGACCTATAGCAGTGGTAGTAATGACAGAATAAATATCCTAGAGTTATTTAGCCTACTGTTTCCTCTGATTATTTGCTTTCTAGCCACACTCCCTTCCTTTTCCTAGTCTGCTATACTAACTCCCTATCCGCCCAGAAATGTTTGGACTACAAGTGGACATAAACCTCAGGGGAATCAAGTCAGATGATGGTCTATGCCAACCAAATTCTTTCCTGAGATAGAATGGGAACAAAGAGAGATACAAATTGAGTTAGTCATTGTTAACCCTAAACCGGGAGGTGACAGAGAGCTGGTGGTCATTTTTTTTTTCATTTGCATGCCATCACAGAGAAAGCCAGTCTGCATTTATAAAAAAATTTTCATGAGAACAGAGACTGTTTTGTTTACTGCAACATCTCCAGTGCCTAGCATACACACTGCCTGGCCATAACTTTTCTCCATATTTCAATCCTTTTGCCCAGTGGCCATGGTAACAAAAGTGGGGACTTGAATATAGCAGGAGATTAAGAAACGGAAGAGGGTGGCTGCACTAGGGTGGCACCCAAATAATGATTCCCTAGTTGAGGGCACAAACTCTTGCATTAAATAATTTTAAACAGTTGCAAATCTTTTGATTTGTATGAGTCAAAGAAATAAGAGTAGAAAGAGGATAAAGTTATTTTTGTTGAAAACTTACGATAAGAGCCATCTGGGCTAATTTCCTCACTTATAACCAGGCAGGTAATCTGAGAATATGGTAAGGGATTATTTCGATTATAGGGACTAACAATCATCCCAATGAACTTTGCACCTCCTCTGGAGAAGTAACTCTACAATGACAAGAAAAATATAATTAGTTTCAACTATATAAATTCAAAAGCCAATATTTATCCATACTAACATTTTAAACATCTAATGGGGAAAAGCAGGAACAAAAAGGTGCATTAAAAAGTTCACATCTGGCCCGGCACAGTGGCCCACGCCTGTAATCCCAGCACTTTGGGAGACTGAGGCAGGCGGACTGCTTGAGGTCAGGTCAGCCTGATCAGGCTTGAGACCAGCCTGGCCAACATGGTGAAACCCCGTCTCTACCAAAAATAAAAAAATTAGCCAGGTGTAGTGGCACGTGCCTGTAACCCCAGCTACTCAGGAGGCTGAGGCAGCAGAATCCCTTAAACCTGGGAGACAGAGGTTGCAGTGAGTCGAGATCCCACCACTGCACTCTAGCCTGGGTGACAGAGTAAGACTATGTCTCTAAAAAAAAAAAAAGTTCACATCCAAACTGCAACTAAATCAAATGCCTTAGATATTCATCTCACACGGTACATTTTTCAGGCAAAAATGTGTTCAACCAAATCCAAAATGACCCTTAAAAATATAAAATGGCCTACACAATCTGTATTTGCCATGAATATATTTACTAATTGTATTCACCACCCTACATCTGTAATTCTTATCAATACAGTAATAATTTACAAATACCCTACAGCAAACCCAGTCACATATCAAGTGTAAAATCCCAGAATAAAACTTTTTCTTCAGCTATAAAAAATACATTATGTTTCTTATTACTTCAGTTGTATCTAGTCCCTGTCCTAGTTGTTCCCATCAATTTTTAAAGGCTCTGGGAGTATTTACCAGTGATACATTCATGGCTTGTTTGTACTTAATAAAATAACTGACTTTCTAAATGTTTACATAAACAATTATCAATCTTGCAATCAGAAAAAAAAATGCATGTTCTTTTAAAACCCCCAGTATATGTATTTTTTTTCTTTTTTTTTTTTTTGGCTGGGTGTGGTGGCTCATGCCTATAATCCCAGCACTTTTGGAGGCCGAGGCGGGCCAATCACCTGAGGTCAGGAGTTTGAGACCAGCCTGGCTAACATGGTGAAACCCTGTTTCTACTCAAACTACAAAAAATTAGCTAGGCGTGGTGGTGCACGCCTGTAATCCCAGCTACTTGGGAGGCTGAGGCAGGAGAATCACTTGAACCTAAGAGGCAGAGGTTGCAGTGAGCCAAGATCGTGCCATTGCACTCCAGCTTGGGCAACAAGAGCGAAACTCTGTCTCAAAAAAAAAATAATAATAAAAATAAATAAAAATAAACAAACAAAATCCCCAGTATAAAGAATATTAGAAATGTAATATGAAAAATGTTTAAAGTTTATCTATTTAAAAGGGAGCATTGAGGGGGTGTGCAACCATTTACAGAATATAAATATACATGTAATACCTGGTATTTAGCTTGTGTGTCAATATCTCGTAAGGAAGGATTAGGATCAAAAGCAGGATGAGAATGATACCATCCAATAACACTGAAGCCTCTAACAGCCAAGGTTTCTGAGGCCTGTGTTTGTGATACAGGATCCATCTCACACTGTAGTCCTGTACTCAGACTGTTACATGGTTCTGCTGCACAGACCTATAAACGATTGATCCTCAAATGATTATACTAAAATCCTGTTAATTCTATTACTCTAATGTTATAATTCTTTCAAAGATACGGAAACTTTTCAAGGCCAAGACTTTTATTTAACAATACCACAGTTGCCTTTAACTTGCAAATGACTTAAACTCCAAAAGTCTGATTATATGCTAGGAACTTAGCATGCATTTTTCTACTCAAACAAGGTCATAATAATGGTTAGTTTTCCAGGTCAGCCCACATAATACCTGTACAAAGGTATTCTTTCAATGACTCCTGTTACTTATGACAATAATTTCAACAGAATGATGCATACAAACTTTCAACTAAAGTGTTAGTACCTGTTTCTGGCCTCTTAGAAGTTGTAGCTTTTTACTAATAAAGGTAATGAGGACCCAAGGCCTGGCAATGTTCTCTCGGTGGTAAAAAGAAACAGGCGCTAGGCATATAGAATGTTAAGTCACTTCTGGGAATATATAACTTGCTACATTTGCATATTCTCATATATATCATAGGTAAAGTCTGTATTTTAATTATATTAACTGAATTCTATAAAAATATTTGGTATGGTAGTAGGACTAAATAACTAAAACATTTTTTTAAAAGAGAGAACTTACTTCAACTACTTTATCAACTTCTGAGTATCTTCCTCCTAACAGACCAATCACTTCTGCCATAGAAACATGAGCATGCTAAAAGAAATACAAGACAGACTTAGCCCAAACGCACAAACCCACCTGACAAAGTAACAAAACTCACTTATCATAAGAAAGTCATTTGTAAGTATAGCCATCATGCTTTTATAAAATAAAGTAGCATAGGAGAGGAACTAGATGCTAGGATCAGTGCACAGAAACTAAGATTTCAGGTCTATCTTCACTGCTGGCTGAGAAGCTTTCAACCAAACACTTAAAAATTCTCAGACTCTACTTTTGCAATTACAAAATGAAGATACCATTTACTCTCCCTACTCAAGGGAGGTATTATGTAAGGATACAAAGTAAAAATCACTCTAAATCCTTCTACACAAAGACATCACAAACACAAAAACTGTTGGAGGTATCGGTAGTTTAGTAAAAACAAAAAAACCCTCCAAATTACAGGAGTTGTGCTTTGTTTCAGTGATCTAAAAAGTGGCAGACACATATATTAGAAACTTAAAATAGGGTTAATGATGGTAAACAGTCTGCAAAAACTCACATTAATTTATTTTCTCTAAAATATGGAAACATGCAATTGTTTGGCTTTTCTCCAAAAGAAAAGACTTATTTTTAGATTCCTTGTAAAAGAGGACAGTTAAGATCCAAAATACACGTCTTCCATACTCTGTCTTACGCCTGCAATAAAAATACACAAGAGTAGAAATCAGAATAACTAAGTAAACACAATAGATTATCCTTACCAAATCCATTATTAAAAGTGCTTCTGAAGCCACTTTCACCTGAAATGGCTCCTGAAATATAAAAAACAAAACAAAACGGGGGAGCATAAAAATAGAGATTTTTGTTTTCCCCACCTGGAATGCCCACCCTGTTCTCCTTTATCCACCCCACCAAGTTCTCAGCACTAACCAAAGCTCAGCACAAACTAGACTTTTAAAACATTATGATTTAAAATTCCAGCAGGGAGAAATTCTCTCTCATTTTCAGTCTTTTTATACATATGCCTTGCACATACGGAAAAAGAGTAAGCATTTCCTGTTTGACGGGGAAGCGGGGATTGTCTACTGTCATTCATTAATGCATAAATAGTACCTGCTTTTCTTCACTAAAAAAATTACAAGGTATCAGTTGGAAGGGATCAAACGAGCTGAAAAAGAAAAAAAATTTTCAATACAATCTCAACAAGATTAGGAAAATAACATTTATTTGTAAATCTGAAAGTGTATATCAATAATCTAAACCCAAATTCTGTCTAAATGAGAGAGTTTTGTAGGAAATTCCATAAACCCTTTCGAAAGAAGCACTGTTCTTTTAGATTTAACAAGAACAAAAAAAAAACCCAGGAACTTTGAGATAAAGTTGCTCTGTTGTCTTAATTTCCTTTAACACTCAAAGAGGACACTATAAACTATCAGACATATGTCCCACACTAAAAGCAGATTTCAAAAAGTCCAATGAAAATATAATTAACTGTCATGAGACCCAAAAAAAGGTTCAAGAAAGATGGAAGTTTATCAAAAACACTTGTCAGTTCAATAATGTGCCCACTATAGAATAGGAACTTAAAACATTTTTTGAATGAATGAATGACAAACAGTTCTGGTAAAGATATTAATGTATTACTCCTATCATAAACTCTTCAAGTGAAAAAGTGGCCAGGTGCAGTGGCTCACATCTGTAATTCCAACACTTCAGGAGGCCGAGGTGGGCAGACCCCTTGAGCCTAGGAGTTTGAGACCAGCCTGGATAACATGGTGAAACCCCACCCCTACAAAAGAATTTCAAAACTAGCTGAGCGTGGTGGCGTGTGCCTGTAGTCCCAGCCACTCGGGAGGCTGAGGTGGGAGGATCACTTAAGCCCAGGAGGTGGAGGCTGCAGTGAGCCATGATTTCACCACTCTACTACTCCACTCCAGCCTGGGTGACAGAGTGAGACCCTGTCTCCAAAAAAAAAAAAAAAAAAAAAAAAAACAAAAAAGTGAAAAAGTAAAAAGAGGTGAAAAAGAGAGAACCTAAGCAAGGTCAAAAGCACACATAAATCTCAGAAATGTCAGTAAAGAATTGAGGCTTGAGAACTATATTAAGAACAATAAAAAGGTTTTTTAGGCTATCTTCAGGGAAAGAAAAACACACAGGAATACATTCGCATTAACACAACTGGAAGAGAGCAGGGCAATTCCATTTCCATTCAACCATAGATGGTTAGCTTCAAGAGAACATTTTGTTTTGCTTAATAATGTATCCCAAGTGATCAGAACCGTGCCTGACATATACAGTACACATTCAAAGATACTTGTTGAATAAAGAAAGACCTTTAAATTAGAAAGTGTTTAATCAACACAAAAAGAAACTGAAGGCCAAGATAGATGAGAAAATAGCACAGAAAGAACATCCTGGAGTACTTAAGAACCACGGATATGGAACCGCTGTCAGTGTTTGTTGAGGAACTGCAGAGAATGGGAAAGTTGCTGAAGGACTAGAAATAGACAATTATTGAGCTTGTTTCACAATACAAAAAAGCAGACTGCAGAAAAGGAGGAACTAGATGTTGAACAGTAGTAAAATTCTAGAAAAAATTATGAAACAGCTGATTTGTGATCCTTAACCAAGTGAAGAGGTGACTAAGTAAAATAATGAGTTCATGAAAAGTCATGATAAGTAGACCTTATTGTAGACACTATTGATAGGAATAATCTGTTAGAAACTAAAGACTTAAATATATTTTATCTGAAATTAAACAAGACATCCGATATGATTATCCTTCTGTATAAGATGAAGATATATGCGTTAATTGTGGTAATCTATATAGCTGATTGAAGAATGAATGTCTTCGTTGTTTAAATATATACAATGAGGTTTACATTTATTCAATTAAACATTGCAATCAGTGAGTAATGGCAGGAAAGGCAAGCTTATTGAAATGTTAATGATACAGTGCTACAAAGGCTAAAATGAGAAAAGTGGATCTGGATTCAAAAAGATCCTGAAGACCTTGAACAATGACTTGAAAATCACAATAAATATAAGTCTCACATTTAGAGTCAGAAAATCAATTATCTGGATACTGGATGAGGAGTCCTAGCTTATGGAGGACTATTTTTTACATAGTTTATCTAATTCAGTCTCACGACAACTGTGTAAGTTTTATTTTTACTTTAGAGAGGTAATATATACTGTAATGATTAGGGGTATGAACTCTTAAGCTTAACACTTGGGTTTAAAATCAACAGCTCCACTACTTGACAGCGTGAGCAAGTTATTAAACCTCTCTATGCCTCTCAGTTTCCTCATCTATAAAATGGGAGTGAGAACATTAACTAATGCACAGGGTTGTCATGAAGACTATATGAGCTAATAAATATAAAGTGCTTAAAATACAGCTAACAGTGTTATTTAAATTATTGTTTAATAAATGAGAACCTAAGGATTACCCGAGGACATTTATCAGGCAAAAATATGATCTAGTGGCATTCCTGGATATCTTCTTTTAAAAGGTACACTGACAAAACTACAGTCTATTCAATGGGGCATCTGCAGGAAGAGGGAATAGAAAATCGGAACATTTAACTTATTTGGTGACCCTTAATTTTAAAAGGCTCAAATTTTAGATTACACATGCATTAGAAAACAACAAACCATGCAACAACTTGCTAACAATTAGTACCACCCAAAGAAAACCCAGTCATTTCATGAAGGTTCCTGTCCATAGCGTCTAGAGTTGAATGACCAACCTGTCCTAAACAGGGCCCCTTTACAACATATGTTGGATCATATGTTCAATGAATCTGAACAAATTTAAAATGTTTGTTCAAGGTCTTCCAAATTCATAATCAGTGAAACAAAAAAAATCTAAAAAATTGTAGCAGTATTTTTTTAAACTTAATGTGAACAATATAATGCAGCTATTGAATATTTTTTCATATATTATCTAGCCATTTGTGATAAATGTTTAAAAACCACATTTATATAACACTACACCTTTTTGTTGGTCTTGGCACTTTTAAAGATTTAACAGGTCTGCCTTTTTCCTCTTCTCTTCTTTTTGCCAACTCCTCAGCAGAGAGATGCTAAAACAAAATGCCAATTGATTAAGGAGTCCATCATCTACTAAGAGGCAGAATAAAAATAGTCCTTTAAAATCAAATTGAAGGGCATGTGAGGACAAGAGAGACTAAATTGATATAGATGGGCTTCCTTTTTGCTACCAACATGTAGAAAGACTGGACAGTATTTTTAAAAAATTGTTTCAAAAGACACGGCCATCCCAAACTGAAAATTTACTCCTTCTCTTGATTTGCCCATTTCAATCAATGGTACCAGTCACCCAGGTTCAAAAACGTCAGAATCACCTGAGTCTTTTATTTCCCATTTCTACTTACCATATTCTACTGTGTTGAGTTTTCTTTCACAACTGAGAGACAGTGCAGAGTAATGATTAAGAACAGATTCTGGATCTAGAATGTCTGGCCCAGTTATTTACTAGCTTGGTGACCCTAGGCAAATTCTAAAGCTTTCATGCTTCAGTTACCTCATCTTTAAAAATGGGAACAATAAAATTAATAATAAAAAGTAAACAATAATACCACTGTCATGGTATTATTGTGAAGACTGAGTTAATGTTTATAAAATACTGACATTGTCTGACACACAGTAAGCCCTTTATAAGTGTTTATAAAATAAAGTAAATCTCTATTCCATTTCTACGACCAACTTACACCCTAGTCCAAATGAACTATGCACCTTTTCCAGAATATATCTAGTATTTTCCCATGTCTCCAGCTTTGTTCCCTCAGCCTAAAGTGTATTCATCTCCATTTTGAGATTCTTCTGCAGATCCTTCAGATCAGATTATACCCCACATACTCTACGAAACCTGCCCTGATCACAGCCTTTGGGAGAAACTTACAATTCTTGGGACCAACCTTATTGAACTTACCATAGGTTTTGTCTTTCCTATTAGAAATACAAGCCCCTTATGGGAAGGATGAATTACTAATTACTGTGCCTAGAATAGTACTCAGGTGAGAAGTTGAGGGCAGGGAATGCGGAGGAGGAAAGAGAACTCAAGTTTGAGTACTTTGTGCATGCAAGGCTTACTGAATACCTAGTACTAGCATCTTTATATAGTCTATCTCGTTTCTTTCTTACAACAATACTTTGAGGGAGGTATTATTATTATTCACAATTCGTAAGTTAAAAAAGCATGAGATTCTGTGAGATTAAGTAGTTGCTTAAAGTAACAAAGCCAGTACGTACACATTCACACATTCTATCCATTCTACTGCACTAGCTGTTACAAAAAATATATATATTTAGAACACATGTGTGTCTAATGTCTAATGCTTAGAACAATATTTTAATTGGTATATCAGAACCTCTTCCAATAAATGTTTAATGAAACGAATTGGGCATACCAACTTCTTGACACCCTTATCTTGAGTTAGAGACAAGAATACAGAGACAGAGAATCCAAGTTCTGAAATGAGTTAAACTCCTAGTTAACTGCACCACCAATGCCTTCTACTTTGGTGTTTACTGGTGACTTCCAGACAAATTAACATGGGAATGAACACATACATGTTAATGTATGAAACAAGTACAATACATATGACATTAAGATGTACAAATATATATTTAAAAACCAGTTTTCATGGATGAGCCATTTGAAAGGTCAAAGTTACCTCAAACGTTTGTCCTTCTAAGTCCTTTGCATCACACCAGTTTCCCCATGGGTCTCGGACCCTACGTCTCCTTGTACGCTGCGATGAGATTAAAGTAAAGCAAAAGGTAGCAAGATTAATATGGAGAAATCATAGCACATTAATACACAAAATGAAAACAATAATTATCTAAAAGTCAATTAATCTATCAATTTAAATAGTATAACCTCTGGCAATGACTGACTAAACTTTATTAATTTATGTTCAATAGTTAGCACTCTAGTTACAAATATAATAAATCAGTGATGGCGAGGTAAGGGCAGGAGCACCAGTAGCAGGTGGGCAGGGTGTGGGCTGGGTGTTGGCACCAGAGGGCTATTTAAAAAATAAGATCAGTAATGATTTTCTGTATTTTGCTAGCATTTCTTCTTAGCTTTTATATTTCCTTTCATCATGTAGGAGCTAAAACACTATGACAAAATTTTGGGTTTTTTTTGAGACGGAGTCTCACTGTGTCGCCCAGGCTGGAGTGCAGTGGCGTGATCTTTGCTTACTGCAACCTCCCACCTCCCGGTTCGAGTGATTCTCCTGCCTCAGACTCCCGAGTAGGAACAAAAATATTTTTAAGATCAAAAAGAACCATCAAGAAAATGGCTTCCTTTTCAACCACTTGTGGTAGAAAATCTGCAAGAACACACAGCAAGAGGTATAATATTGAAAACTAGAAGCAAAATAATTATTATTTCCAGCTTTAGAAAGGAGGTGGCCTAGTTGATCAAATAATGAGAAATTACAAAGTTGGTTGACTACATTATTAAAATCCAGTTTTGCAAACCTCAATAGTGAGGCCTTTAAAATGGACCAGTTGCCAAAGGATAGTGTATGACTAGCACCATATCCAGCAACTCTAATTGATAACATCTTTAAGATAGTAAATCTAGATAGAAATGGTTTATAGCCTAAATACTCTGAGAAAAACAGCTATTTTAGCACCTATACTTTCTTTTTCATATCTTATTTATTACTAATTTAATCCATTAGTAAAACTAACAGGATCATATTATGACTCTGCCTTATAAAGAGTGTTGGATCGGCTGCACACGGTGGCTCACGCCTGTAATCCCAGCACTTCGGGAGGCCAAGGCGGGCGGATCATGAGGTCAGGAGATCGAGACCATCCTGGCTAACAAGGTGAAACCCTGTCTCTACTAAAAATACAAAAAAAATTAGCTTGGTGTGATGGCGGGCACCTGTAGTCCCAGCTACTCGGGAGGCTGAGGCATGAGAATGGTGTGAACCCGGGAGATGGAGCTTGCAGTGAGCCGAGATGGCACCACCATACTCTAGCCTGGGTGACACAGCGAGACTCTGTCTCAAAAAAAAAAAAAAAAGAAAAAAAAAGTGTTGGATCACATTTTTATTTGTTTTTTTTTCCCCTCGAGATGTTTCTTTTTCTCCTAGTAGGTCACTTTATTTTTAAAGTATGATTTACGAATTTTAAAATATTATAAAACTGACTCCAAGAATAAAAAAAAAGTCTAGTTATTCCAAAAAGGTGATTCTTAAGGTTAAGAATTTTAAAAGAAAAATCAATGAGAGAAAAAAAAACTGAACTATATATTTTTAAAAGACACATTAGATTTATAAATTAAAACGAAGCATCCCAAGACCACTTTAGGAAAACATTATGCTTCTGCATCAAGTTTGCTAGTACATTTTAAGGGTTTTTAGGTTTGTTTTTGCCTCAGAAAGCAACATGAAATTGAATGAAACCCAGAAAAGCGAATTGCTAAGGTGAAACACAAGAGGAAACATGTTTTTCTACTAAATGGTCATTTATTAAACAGCTCAAGGTAAGTACGTAAACCACACTAAACAGAGTAAGCAGCAATGTGGAGAGATCACTGAGAGAGATGACTGCTTACCATAGACTGCAGACGCTGGGCAAGTTGGTATGCTTCTACTGCATCTTTTCTGTCTCTGATTCGTACTTTGTCAACTGTTTGTGGCCTATTATACACAGCCTGTTCTATTGGAATTCAGGAAAGATAAAACCATCTATTATTTTGTGAAACTCATTTGTTAAACAGTAAGACACATGTACACTGACTATAGTGGGGCTTCTATGACTCTTATTTCACGATCATACATTTGATGTGCTACTGAGCACCCCTCAAATTAAAAGTAATGCTGTTATTATAAGAAAATCTTAATAAATGGAATATTTAGAAAATGGGTAGTTTGCTAACTTTGGCAGTCTAATACAGAAAACATGATTTAATTTTTCTTTTGGTGGCTGAGGAAGCAAAAATCCTTTAGTTTTCCTGAAAAGCTAGTCTCAATATTCAAGGCTTTGGGAAAACAAAGACACTGAAATGAAGGACAGATTCCCGGGCAAACTAAATTCTATCTAGCTCAATATAAAAGAAAATCATATCTGACAGAAAATCTTCTTGTTAGTTGTCTCCCTTTCATAGACAAACACAGAATATACTCTTCTTAAACCATGGGTTACAAGGTTTTATGTACCTTATCACTTTGTAGCTATGAATGGTTGTGTCATTTTAATTCAATAAAAGAGTAGAGGTCAGGCGCGGTGGCTCACGCCTGTGATCCCAGCACTTTAGGAGGCTGAGGCGGGCAAATCACGAGGTCAGGAGTTCGAGACCAGCCTGGCCAATATGGTGAAACCCGTCTCTACTAATCATACAAAAATTAGCCAGGTGTGGTGGCATGCGCCTGTAGTCCCAGCTACTCTGGAGACCGAAGCAAAAGAATCGCTTGAACCCGGGAGGCGGAAGTTGCAGTGAGCAGAGATCACACCACTGCACTTCAGCCTGGGCAACAGAGCGAGAAAAAAAAAAAAAAAAAGAGTAGAATATATTTTAAAATATGTATATTCATTAACTTTAAATTTGAAAAAAACTAAGGTACAATTGTCTTCCACAAAAAATATTTTGACGCTTTTATCACATGTAAGTGTAGAGGCTCACAAATTATTTCCTTTATTTAAACATTGCTAGGTAGTATTTCTAGCATGAATACAGTATTTGCAAATTAAATGGGCTATTATTAGACTTTTCATAAAATAATTTTACTTTTATCTGCTAAAGAACTGTATTCTTAAATTATTTCTATTACTTAGATTGAATATTTTACCTTTAAAGTTACACTCTCAATTTTCAGTGTAGGTCAAATGAAAACACAGTTTAACCAACAGTAAAATCTTAATAAAACATTTATTAAATAATGTTACAGCACCTCTGAATTCTATATACCTATAACTACTTGAATTCTAACCATCATAGAAATGAATAAGTGCTGTAAGGATAAAAAATGTCGAGTAAAAGATGTTGTTGGGTTTTTATTTTTACCACATCCAAAATTGATTGCTCCTATCAATTCGAGGTATGTATGAATCCGTCCAATACAATTAACATCTCCACAGTTCTTCAGGCCAGGACGTACTGAGGTCTTATTTAAGTATTTTGGTTTGCATATCTCCCTAATTAAGAGACAGAAGTACAATTATTTTGGATAAATAAAAACGTGAAAAAAGATTTCTGGGGAAAACTTTCAATATTTGAAATATCTCTAAATTTTAACCCCTTTCAATGTATAAATGTGTAATAAATACAATACTAATACATAATACCCATGTACTTTTTTTCTGAAATAAAATATCCTTAAATGATACAATAACTTATTAGCATAATTTTTTACAAGCAATATTTCTTCCCCAATGTTAAATTCATAGATTCCAGTTATCCCAGGACCTTGAATTCAGAAATTTATGTACAGACACAAATTGAATCTTTAAATACAAAGAGCAGTTTGATAATATATAGAAAAGATTTAGTATTAGACGTTTCCAATTTGTAATATATTACTTAGATTCATCTACTCTTATTTTGCTTAACAGTGTCTTTCAATTATCAGCTATCTTACAAATGCTTAAACATTTTATATTTGTTTTTAATTATGATGACAACAAATATTAAGTGCTTACTCTCAGTGGAAAACAGAAACAGACGTTATAAGGGATTCCAAAGGGGAAATCAAGAAACTCCCAAAGATTATGAAAGAAATAAGAGGTTTATATAATAAAACACGTATTTATTGAATATACTTAATGTACCTTGCTAGATGGTACAACATAAAATTCGAGTAATAAAGAACTTAGTAGAAACTAATTACTGAATGCTTAAGCCAGATTATTGTGCTGAGTTACACATCCTTAATCTTTACAACTATACAAGGTAGATTTTATTAATATTATTCTCATTTTGGAAATGAGGAAGCAAGGGGGTCAGAGTAAAGCACTTACTTAAGGAAGGGACATAATCAGGATTCAAGTATAGATATTATAAATTTAGGTATTCAGATATCTCATATAACATGGGTATTTCTCATTCGATCATTATTTTATTCCATGAATATATTGTTCTAAGCACTAGAGATACACAGATAATGTAAAATTTCTAACCTTACAGATCTTACATTCTAATGGGAGGGACTGTCAATAATCAATGAACCATATATATTACACTTTCAGGTAGCAATAGTGCTAAGTAAGAAGGTCAAGGGGATAGAGTGGGACAAACAGGCATAGACTACTTTAGATAGATAGGGTGCTTAGGCTAGGCCTCACTAAGCAGAATAGAGGGTAAAAATAATTTGTGATGTGGGAGGGTACCACACCTTCCATAGAAACGTTGAGATTTCAGTGTGTCTTGCAAGAAAATGAAACAAAATTGTACAAATGAAAGCAATAAAGCAGGCAAGAGTATGGCTACCAAGAAACCAAAGGAGTCTGAAAAAACTAGACTGAGCTAACTGAAGACTACTCAAAGTAAAAGGCTTTAAACAGAACTCAGTAATCTAGCACAGTGCTGAACAAATGGTAAGGACTCTAAAAATATGTTCATGGAATAATGATTCATGTTCGATCTTTTCCCCCTAACAAATAAGAGTACCTTCTATATTCTGAGCATTGTTTAAGAACTAGATTCAACAACAAACAAAACAGATAAAAATCTGCCCTCATGTTGCCTGCATTATCATGGGGGTTGAGGGGAGAAGAGACAGTAAACAAATAAAAATGTAATTATTTGTGGTAGTAATAAGTTCTATAAAGAAAATAAAATACAGGGCAAGAGAATGAAAGGGAGGAGATATGTGAGATATTTTAGATAAGCCTCTAATTTCCCTCGACCAGATTTCAATGAGACAAGAAAGCAACACTTGACAAAATATGGGGGAAGAACATCCAAAGCAGAGTGAAAAGTCAGGGTCAAGGCCATGAGTTGGAAGTGTGAAAATAATGAGTCAAGACTGCAGACTCCAATATCTCCTTTACCTAGTGTGACCTGGAAAAGTTTTTTATCCTCTGTGAACCTCATTTTTCTTATCTATAAAGTGAGAACGAGGTTGTCAAAAGGATTGGAGATGATTTAAGTACAGTACATGGTATTCGGGAGGCATTCAGTAATGGTACTGGTTACTATTTTAATAAAAATATTCCCCTAACCAGGGAATCAACTGCATCTGCTTTTATGAAAAGAATCTTTATCTATAAACAAATCTGGCAGGCTTCTTTTTATTTCAAAACTTTAACTCTTCTATTTTTTTTTAACACCACCTCCAGTGCCTAACCACTCACTCTCTTCTATTTCTGAACAAATGTGAGTTCCTGTTCAAAACAATTTTTGCTTTCACAATGTTCTGCTAAATCACCATAATGAAATAGCAATACCTAACCAGTTTCATGAACCAAGGCAAATGACTTAGGAAACTATTGCCATGTAATTTATAGTACCTATATAAATTAATCTGCCTCATTTGGAATTCAAAATTCAAAGTAACAAATATAGAATTTGATTAAAGTAACAAGAATATAGTGATCATTCATATGGACATTTTTAAGAGACAGGATCTTGCTCTGTTGCCCAGGCTAGTGTACAGTGGCATGATCCCACCTCACTGCAGCTTCAAACTCCTGGGCTCAAGTGATTCTCCTGCTTCAGTCTCCTGAGTAGCTACAACTACAGGCACACAACACCGCGCCTAAGTTTTAAAAAAATTTTTTGTAGGGACAGGGTCTTGCTATGTTGCCCAAACTAGTCTCGAACTCCTGGCCTCAAGTAATCCTCTTGTCTCAGCCTCCAAAAGCACGGGGATGAAAATTGTGAGTCAGCCGGGCGTGGTGGCTCACACCTGTAATCCCAGAACTTTGGGTGGCCGAGGTGAGTGGATTACCTGAGGTCAGGAGTTCTAGACCAGCCTGGCCAATGTGGTGAAACCCAGTCTCTACTAAAAATACAAAAATTAGCCGGGCGTGGTGGCACGCACCTGTAGTCCCAGCTGCATGGGAGCTGAGGCAGAAGAATCACTTGAACCTGGGAGACAGAGGTTGCAGTGAGCTGAGATCATGCCAAGGCACTCCAGCCTGGGAGAAAGAGTGAGACTCTGTCTCAAAAAAAAAAAAAAAAAAAAAAAGGTTGTGAGCCACTACTCCTGACCAATATGGACATTTTTGAGTTAGTTATGATTTCAAGGTCCTTAAATTTTGGCCATTCACCCTCTTATTTCCAAAAACAAAAGTAGATACCAATAGAAATCTAATTTAACTAGTCTTTGTCATTAGTGTGAATTAGGCCATGTAGAATAAAAGAGTGATTTACAGACACATGAAGACTGAAGTCCTTCATGTGTCAGTGACTGGTTGTATAATCCAAGGCAGGTCCCTAAACCTCTCCTGATCTCAGAATCATTCTTTATCAAATAAACATAATACCATCTGCATTATTTTACAGGATTGTTTTAAAAAATCAAGTAAGATGATGTAGCAAAGCTCTTTAACAACTATAAAGCACTATGTAAAGTCAGGAGTTGTTCCTTGCAAGTATTCTTTACTATGATGCCAACCTAACCCACATGTTGTACTTTCAGCACCTCCACCATCTGTAAGATAACTCAAGAACAAACCTCCTCCTTTAAGAATACAGCCATCTTTAAAAACCAAAGACTTATATTGTGTGGGTAAAATGAAGGTTACCGATTTATTATAGCAAGTTGTTTTCCTTTGGTAACCCTTCTAGGTTACAGCAGGAAGTTAACAATAGCAATAGGACAGGAAGGCTTTCCATACAAAAGAGAACAAAGGACAAAGCAGAACCCCTGCTCAAGGAACTAGGAAGCTCTCTGTAAAGATGGCCCTATACAATTTGATAGCTTCTGAAACAGAATTAGCAATTATGATTTTTAAAAATAATTTTTTTTTTTTTTTGAGATGAAGTCTCGCTCTGTCGCCCAGGCTGGAGTGCAGTGGCACGATCTCGGCTCACTGCAACCTCTGCCTCCCAGGTTCAAGAGATTCTCCTGCCTCAGCATCCTGAGTAGCTGGGATTACAGACACCTGCCACAATGCCCAGCTAATATATATATATAGTTATTTTTAGAAGGGACAGGGTTTCACCACGTGGGCCAGGCTGGTCTCAAACTCCTGACCTCAAATGATCTGCCTGCCTCAGCCTCCCAAAGTGCTGGGATTACAGGCATGAGCCACTGTGCCCAGCCAGCAATTATAAATGTTTAATGATGGTTTAATTAAGCTGTTTTAAAAAATTCAAATTAGGCTAGTAAGGTGGGAAATTTTGGGGTTTGTTCCCTAAGCTTCATTAAATAATTCAAATAAACGGTACTGACAATCTAGAGAATAAGCTTCATCTATCAGAAAACTGTATCCTGATAAAACTGGATGAAGAAATTAATAGCACATTATTGTCACAAGTTCAAAGTTAAAAGCATTTAAGATCACTATTTAGAAGTGTTTCTGCAATCTGGCCACATTTAATACTACTGCTGTCATCAAATTTTTCTATCTTTGTACTCAAAGTACATGATAAACCGGAAAGAATTATTTCCCTTTTCCCGTGCAGTGGTGTTCTCTCTATATCTTCCTAACGCTGTCCTAGGAGACTGCTTCATAAAGCAATCGTCTATCCCTTTTATTCCAGGCCCACAATCTAATGAATAGGCAAAAAGATGGGTTATGAGAGTTATAGGTGATAATGTTTACCAAAGCTTTTTTTCATTACAAGAAATCTTAAATCTTCCCTACTGTAGTGATCTCTAGATTTACTAGCAAAATTCTAAATTCTGTATAGGCCTAATTAAAATACTTCAGAATATCACGTTTTAAAACAACATCTATAATGTAATTCTTTCTTACCATTGATCCAAAATATAATTTCTAATTTTCAAATAGCGTTCTGGTGTTTTAGCTTGGCGCCCCTCAAAAAACTCAGGAATTGCTTGTTTTTCTTCTTCTTGAATGATATTTCTATCTATTTCTATTTCCTGTTCTGGTGGCTTAAGCTCTTCTTCCTCATGGCTTTCCTCTACCATTTGGCAAGAATGAAAAAGCATTTCATTATCATTCAAATTTTTCTGAATTTCACAAGGCTCTGGAGAAGGCAACTGCCTGGCATCAACTATTATTCCCCTTCCATCATGCTTGTTGCAGTTTTTAATCAATTCATTAAATTTCTGGTCATTTAATTCAATTGATTTTTTGTCACCATTGCTCTGTTTCTCAGTCCACAGTGTAATTTCTGAGCTTGAAAGTGTTTCATCTTGCTTTTCATTTTGAAGACAGCCCCTGGAAGACTTAGAAAAGAGAGCTTCCTGGCTGTCAGAAGTAATGAATTCTCCTTGATTGGTTTCATGCATTTTACTATTAGGAAAGTCTAACAAGAGATCACTGCTAGAATTCTTCTGGGGTGTTTGAGAAGACAACTCGTCCACCTCATCTGTGATGTCTACTTCTTCATCATCAGATAACTTTTCAATTTTTACAGCATTCAAGTTGGGATCAGCACGTCCCCTTAAACATGATGGTGTCCATGCCTTTGTCCCTTTATCTTCATTTTTAACTTGAAGATTATGGCCGGTCTTCTGATTTGGTGTTTCTTTATCCAGACCGCATTTGACCTTATTAAAAATCAAAATAAAATCCCCATAATATTAAGATTTAAAAATTTAATCACTGGTACACACAAAAAAGGATAAATATACAGTGTTATTAAACTGAATACATGTAAATGGTACATTATACCTCTAATGCGCTTTTCTTTTTTTTCTTTTCTTTTTTTTTTTTTTGAGACGGAGTCTCGCTCTGTCACCCAGGCTGGAGTGCAGTGGCGCAATCCCAGGCCACTGCAAGCTCCAGCTCCCGGGTTCATGCCATTCTCCTGCCTCAGCCTCCCGAATAGCTGGGACTACAGGCGCCTGCCACCGTGCCCGGCTAATTTTTTGTATTTTTAGTAGAGATGGGGTTTCACCATGTTAGCCAGGATGGTCTCGATCTCCTGACCTTGTGATGCACCTGCCTCGGCCTCCCAAAGTGCTGGGATTACAGGCAATGTGTTTTTCTTTAAAGGGTTTATAATAACTGCATTTTAGACAAGATTGGGCACGTTCATGGTGGTAGGACCATAGACTACAACTGCATTTCAAATGTAAAGGATCACCATTTAAAATTTCTATAAATATATAACTAATTCATGGGTCTGGTGATTTTTATTAATCAAATAATCATGACCTATATTTACTACTTATTTTTCAATATTAAGTTGAAAACAGCAGCCTGGCTCAGATCAACTGTATGGAATAAACCAACAACTATCATACTAAGGTATCGTACAATATATTGAAATATTTTTAAAGGCTTCTCAGACTATGTGATACTGTAGCTGATTATTTCTTATAATGCTAAAATAATCCTTAATCTATCTGACATCTTCACTGAGTACATTAAAACTACCTTTCATTTAAATAAGGGACAACAGAAAACAAACTGTCTTTTGCAGGCTTATTTAATGAGCTTATATTATAGAGATTATATTTTAATGTGATACTTGAGAAAAAAAGAGAGATTATATTAAGCCATAAAAGTATCTCCCATACCTGCTACTACAGACATAAATATCTGGTAATGTAACAACAACAAAAAAAGATAATGAAAGTGAATGAGCAAATATAACATGAAATAAAATCCTTACCTACGAAGTTTTTAAAAAGTCTTATA
Source organism: Homo sapiens (assembly GCF_000001405.40). NCBI lineage: Eukaryota > Metazoa > Chordata > Mammalia > Primates > Hominidae > Homo > Homo sapiens. The sequence continues at coordinate 58,683,642 of NC_000001.11, forward strand.
AATGACTAACATACATAAGAGATATGACAGCTCTCAGAAACAGGTTATTTATAGATCCTGTATCACACAGAATTCCAGGATTAAATATTTGAGGTTAACTGGCTTACTATGTAGAGAATAAAAGGGTAGCAGGAGGGAAAGAGATTTGGACATATTGCCTGAAACAGCTTTTAACATCCCTGCTATTTATTTTAAGTATCCTGTCTATAATTTTAAAAATTCAGATGAAATTTTGCATTGATTTCATAATATACTAGTCTCTGTTACAATATGAAAAATGTATCCTTCTACCCCAGGTCTTTGAGTAAAACTGGCACTCCAAGATACATAGCATGTATCTTGGAAGCCTAAGAGTAAGAATAACCAAGTTAAGCTTTATTCTGTTCTGAGGTATTAACTAAACCCTGGTGAGCTGCCTTGAAAATGCTTCTGTTTGGTTGAAAGATGGAGCATACAATCGATGTATGATGAATCCATTCCATTAGTTACCACCTATGTCTAGACAACACCGAAACAAATCTTACCTACAGGGTAGAACTCATTATCTACATGAAGAGATAATATCAAATTTCACTCAAGACACTTACCAATTTTATATAATTATGTTCCTAGGCTTCAAAGAGGATATATTAAAAAATTCTAGGCCGGGCACGGTGGCTCACGCCTGTAATCCCAGCACTTTGGGAGGCCGAGGCGGGTGGATCACGAGGTCAGGAGATCCAGACCATCCTGGCTGACACGGTGAAACCCCGTCTCTACTAAAAATACAAAAAATTGGCCAGGTGTGGTGGCGGGCACCTGTAGTCCCAGCTACTCAGGAGGCTGAGGCAGGAGAATGGCGTGAACCTGGGAGGCCGAGCTTGCAGTGAGCCGAGATCGCACCACTGCACTCCAGCCTGGGCGACAGAGCAAGACTCTGTCTCAAAAAAAAAAAAAAAGAAAAAAAAAAAATTCTAAATATCAAAACGACATGGTTGCATATAGCACAAATTACTTGAAAGATTAAGAAACCAGATCACAATTAAACCTTTCTTAACACTGCAGTTTATTAAAGTTTCAGACAATTTTTCATAACAATTGTAAAAATTTCATAGCTATTTAACAGATTTCAGAGTCAGGATAGCATTTACCTCCTGTAAGCTCTAATAATTCTTAAAAGTTTCTACAACACAAATATTTTAAAAGGAAAAGTTATTTTCTAGAGGAAACAATAAGATAAGATCTCTAAGGTTTTCTCTTTGAAATACAATTTGCTTTATAGTATATTTTTGAGCAATTACTATTTTGTCCATTTAACTTTATAAAATTAAATAGAGTAACATGATACCTATTTAATGGCAATACTCAAAACACTGAAGATATCCTCTGAGGTTTTGTATAGTACTATGTGGGTATAAAATACTTTAAAAACTTTTACCAGTAAGACTTTAATGCCTGAATTAAAGAAATACTTCTGCTTAGTTTTTTCTAAATATTATCATTATTAACCAGGATACTGATATTCTGCTTACCTTATTTTTAAAATACTGTCTTGCATAACTCTTCACTTGTAAAACAGTGCGGCTTCCAATTAGCTTTGAAATTTTGGTCCATCTTCGGCCAAATTTAGCCTGTATTATTAAAATGGGAAAAAAAATTGCTTTTGATGAATTTACTTAAGAATAGTCCAAGCCACTACCACATTAAAAAAAAAAAAACTTAAAAAAAAATACATCTTTATTTTCTGAAGCACACAATAAAGTCTTCTATATAGACTATGCTCTTAAAATCAAAGCCTACATTCATTCTTTTGGAATCTGAACTACTGAAAACTGATGGAAATGATTTAGAAACTCCTTTTTAAAAAGAATAGCTATCTAAATGAAGATATTGCCTAACTGAATGAATTCATATTGTAAGTTATAATGTTCCATATCTAAAATAACTTTTTAAAATAAATAAGTGCCTGAAAGGGGTACAGGTTACATTTTCCATTTATACGATCAACTGAACATGTTCTGTGCTAATTTCAACACTTTTTTTAACTCAGATTCCCTATTTTGCAATATCCATTATGTATCTCACAGCAGAGACTTTTACTCTATCAGATATCACAGTGAACTGACCTAAAAGACTAAATCGATTAAATCACAAATGAGGAAGTCCTGCAACAAATGTCTTCTTTGTTAAGATGTTATAAGCCCCAAGTTCTAACTACCCGTTTCATTACTCATCAGAGTTTCTCTTGCATATGTATATGCTGCACACATCAACAAACTCTGGTTTTCTCCTGTTAATGTCGTTGTCAGTTTTTATTTCATTTTTGAGACAGGGTCTCACTCTGTTACCCAGGCTGAGTACAGTGGTGTGATCACGGCTCATGCAGCCTCAACCTCCTAGGCTTAAGCAATCCTCCCACCTCAGCCTTCCCAGTAGCTGGGACTACAGGTACGCACCACTTTGCCGGGCTAATTTTTTATTTTTTGTAGAGATGGGGTCTCACTATGTTGCCTACCCTCCAACTAATGCCTTCTGACACCTCCCACATCCAGGTGTCAAAGGCTGTGCACGTCATAACACTGAAGCTGTGGAGGGAAAAAAAAAAATGACAACTTGAGGGAGCTCCTGTGTGTTCTCAAGCACAGAAAGGAACACATAATTTGACAGCTAAAAGGGACTGTTAGGTATCAAGTCTAACTATAATTTAATACGTAAATCCTCTCTGCAATATCCCCAACATAAGATATTCTCTACTTCCTAAGGTAGCTAAATAATTCTATATTTTTAGAATTCTTAAAACTATGAAAAAAACAAAAAACTAGCCACAACTTAGGAAAAGTTTTGTCAGATTTACAGGCCAGGCAGTCATGCCTTACGGTAGCAAATCATTTTCAAAGATCTCACCCAAGTGATAAACCTTAATTTAAGTAAATTTCTGATACTCATTAGAAAATATGACATATGGACAATTTCTTAAACTCAAAGTGCTTCTGAAAATTATTAGTAAATATAAATTAATTATTTAAGATTGCTCTTAACACCTAGCTGAGATCAACTTGATGAAAAACTACTTATCTTTATTGTGGGATGAAGACAAATAGATAACATTGGTAGGTAGCATGGAGCATTTGTGGAGACAGGACAGATCTGGATTAAGATATGATTAGTAGAAGAGTAGGGACTTGGGCACTAGAAAAATTGGGGAAAGAACACGAACAAGAGGAGCAAAGAAGCCAGGCACAGTGGCACATGTATGTGGTCCTAGCTACTCAGGAGACTGAGGCAAGGGGATCACCTGAACTCAGGAGTTCAAAGCCTGGGCAGCATAACGAGACCTTGTTTCTTAAAAAAAAAAAAAGAAGATAAAAAAAGGAGCAAAGAAAATATTCACCAGTTTCAAAATAGAGCAAAGGGAGAGTCCCATGCCCAAAAAAGGGAAGGAAAAAAGCCTTTCTTCATCAATCAGTACCACCCAAGTCCCTACTCCCAAGCCTGAGAGAATTCAGTCTGTAAGCAAACTTTATCAATGGTTTAAAAAAAAGCTGAAAATACAACTAATAATTCCATGCTTGTTGTGTAGGAAAACATTCCAAGTTTAAAATCTCCCTTAATGTAAATAGACAGAGGTCTACATATCTCTATATAAATAAATACATATTTACTTATATATGGACAAATATCTCTGGAAGAAAACACAAAGAAGACACTGGTTACCCCGGGCGAAGCGAACTGAAGGCTAAGATGAGAGTGAGAAGACTTAATACCCTATAACTTTAGGAACCTTTTGAATTTTAAACCATGCAAATGTAGTCCCCATAAGTACCACCAACATAAAAAATAACAACCCAAAAATGAACCTTAAATTCAATCTATTTGCAGATGTAAGCATATATGTTAGTACAAACTGCACCATGTTGTAAGCTCCCTGCTATTTTGCAGACCTTTGTCGAAGTGAAACATTTCACAGGGGTTCAGGCCATGAGAAGTATCCTGCCTAACCACCTGACTACAAGACAAACAAAGGCCCAACTAAAGAAATATCCCTATCCTATCTTGCTTGACAAAGGTCCAAAAAACACCTGAACACCACAACGACATCCCGCCGGAACAAGGGCCAGAACTGCCTCATCATGGGAACATCTTATCAATGTCCTGCTGGGCAGCAAGCCATACTGCCCAGACCTCTTCTGCCGATACCTATAAATTGCCCCAGGCTATAAGCAGCAGCGGGCTCTGGCATTAGGTTGGTCTCCCACTTCTGTAGGTTTTATGCTGGACATAAAGCCTGCATTTGCTGCTGAGCTGCCCTCCTTCTGCGTGTGTGTGTGTGTCTTTCTTTAACCCTCACCTCCTCTTTAAGACCTAACATTATGTATCTGGTCTTTGATAAGGGGCAAAACACCAAAGTTGTTAGGAATCTTAAATAAATGATTAATTAAAGTTAGATCATATAAATGATAATCATACAACACACTGAAATATCAATATAAAAAAAAAATCACCAGTATAGGAACAAGTCTTGAAGAGATAAAAACCTCAAGATCATTTATATATTTATATAAGAATATCATACAGTATACAGATCTCATGGTGTTGACTAAAATACAAACACAAACATTTTATTCTCATCATCTGTAGAAATGTTAATGATACTTCAATTAGCATACATAAATTTTATATATACAAATATTCTATATATGTAATGTATAAATATACATAATTTCAAAATTACTTAGAACATTACTAGGTATCATGCACCTTAAAGGAAAAGATATAAACTAATCTTGATAGTAAAAAAATTAAAAAAAAATCCTAAGTATTTTTTTTTAAAGTTTCTTCATATTAAGGGGTATTTTCAGAATTAGAAACCAGAATACGTATCTTTTCCATTATGCAACTTGTGAACATTTAAATAGATTTCAGTGTAATAGACATTCACGCAAAAAAAAAATGTTTCTGGTCTTCATTTAGAGTCGCTGAAATATTTAGACAGTGTATACAATGCCAAATTATCTGAATAAAAACTCAGCTGATCACCCCAACAGTTTCAAATATACAAGTTTTTATTTTATTTCAAAAAAAAAAAGAGATTACTAAATAATTTTGCCTTTTAATCCAGGTAGTTGGTGTCATGTATACAGATATACCTCAATTTCTTGGATTTTGATAATACCACAAGAACGTGAAAACTACAGATCTAAATCTATTTTAGTATTTTAGTACCTTAGATCTAAGTTAAAAGGAATTCTCTTGCACTACACTATAAACATCATTACTCTAACTACAGAAGAACTAAAGGTGTTAAAACTGTAATTAAAAAGAAAATTCAGGTCTCTATAAATTAATTTAACCTTATAACTTTACCAATATTTGCTTCTAGAATTATTTTACTAAAAATTTAAAATTGCTCTATTTACCAGCCCTTGTTCAAACAGCTCTTTTTCTTCTATCGTCCACTTTACTGAGTAACTGGCTGGTTTTGTAGGAGAGTGTACCCTGAGGGGAAAAAAAGGAATTGCAAAAAAAATTTCTGAAATGGAACATTCCATATTTATGTAACTAAAGGTTATAGATAGCCATGGGCTAAATTCAATACTTTGAGTCTAGGAATTAAAAATAAACAAACAAACAAAACAAGAAGGCTACAGCCTCTACCTGGGGGCAGAGATTTACCCTGTCACGTGTCTCTAGCTCAGGATGATGGGAGCCCCAAAAGACATAATCCTTGGGTCTGAGTGAGGGTAACACTAAAAGACATCAAAGGAAGTCAATGTGATAACAAACAAATAGGCTCCCTTAGACTGGATACAAAGCAGCAGGTGTTAATACATTCCCAAATCCTGAAAGGCATGTAAGAGTTTAAATTGGTTCCACAAATACTATCTCTTTAGTTCTTTCATGTAAATCCATGTAAATATTTAGAAAAGAAGTCAAAAACTACAGCATTGTATTTATTGCTTTTAAAATTCATTATCTCAAGGAATTAAAAATAAAACTGATGAAGCTCACTAATTTAAGCAACCCATTAATCCTTTTGTTAACTTCATTTCATTGTTTATTCAGCAAAATACAAAAGCAAAAGGCTGCTCAGTACTCAACCTCTTGGGCAATTGCAAATACGTAAACCACCCTTTAAAGGACCATAAACTTCCAAAGTCATAAATGCTAAATAATGTTTTTTCAATTATAGGGAAAGGATATTTTTAAAATAGTTAATTTCTCCAGATAATTTTTGAAAGCCACAAATCCAAATGAAAATTTTGTTGAAAATAAGTGAAAATTAACTGACAGAGTAAAAGAAATCAAGTCAATTCCAATATATCACATAACAGCTTCTCAAAATTTCCCCATAAACCCCTGGACAACCATATTTTTCACAATCTGAAAGAATTGCCTACATAGGGCCATGAAAGAAATTCTGGCAAGTAAATAACACCATAAAATTATACTTGTGCCACTCCAACATCTTTATTAAAAAAACTGTTTTTATATCTACTTTAAGGTCAAGAGGGCTTTTCCACAGGCCAACTATAATTAAAAAAAAATTATTCCATAATTTTTAACTAATGAAAACAGATTTATAAATATAAAATATAAGTACATACATGATTTTTGCTGTTTTCTGCAGACTGCATCACATGAAAAAAGAAAATAAGGAAGCGTGTGAGGTTTCTAAAACTACAATCCAGACTTTTAGAAATATTATAAATTGATTTTACCTCTTCATGTATTTTTTATCATCTTCCTTTTGATCAAGCCAGACTTTTTCCGGTTGTGATTTTTTAGATAAATAATATCTGTGTAACTATCAAGGAAACTTTTTAAACAATATTACAGTCATGTAATTTTTACATTACTTATACAAAACGTGTGCTACATAAATGTTATTAATAGTTCCCTTGTCTTCCCAATTAGAAGTGACTACAAGAAACAGCCTCCATGTTTAAATCAAGCTTGTCCAATCCTCTGCCTGCAGGCTACATGTGGCCCAGGACGGCTTCAAATGTGGCCCAACACAAATTCGTAAACTTTCTTAAAACACCATGAGATTATTTTGTGATTTTTTTTTTTTTTTTTGGCTCATCAGCTATCATTAGTGTATTTTATGTGGGGCCCAAGAAAATTCTTCTTCCAGTGTGGCCCAGGGAAGCCAAAAGACTGGACACCCTGGTTTAAATATTTTCTTCCAAAACATATGGAGAATGTAATAGGTAAACTTGGTTGGTTGTCCAAGGCAATTCGGGAATAATTTTCCACATTTCTAAAGCCAACAGAGAAGAATCCAAGGATCTTCTCTACCTTAATAAAAATTGCAAACATTTAGATCAAATCTACCAGAGAACTTCCCTCTTAAAGTTATTAGAACTAGCCTGATGAGGCCAGGCGCGGTGGCTCACACCTGTAATCCCAGCACTTTGGAAGGCCGAGGCAGGCGGATCACAAGGTTAGGAGATCGAGACCATCCTGGCTAACACGGTGAAACCCCATCTCTACTAAAAAACAGAAAAAATTAGCCAGGCGTGGTGGCGGGCGCCTGTAGTCCCAGCTACTCAGAAGGCTGAGGCAGGAGAATGGAGTGAACCTGGAAGGCGGAGCTTGCAGTGAGCCAAGTTTGAGCCACTGCACTCCAGCCTGGGCGACAGAGCGAGACTCCGTCTCAAAAAAAAAAAACAAAAACAAAAAACTAGCCTGATGAAGTACTTTAAGATTAGCCTGAGATATTCTTCACTTAACAAGTATTTATTGGCTATCTACTGCATATGTCAGGTACTATGCTAGGTATAGATGCTGAGAACAAAGATACTCTCATTATTTGTTTCCATATCTAGAAGTGAACCACTGACTACTTAAGTGTTTTATCTAGACAGTGGCCACCAACCACATGTGCATCGCTGGTTTCTGACCAGTGGAAACACTATTTGCATGAACTAGGATGTACTCTAAGTATAAAACACAGTGGATTTTGGCCGGGCGCAGTGGCTCACACCTGTAATCCCAGCACTTTGGGAGGCCGAAGCAGGTAGATCCCGAGGTCAGGAGTTCAAGACCAGCCTGGCCAACATGGTGAAACCCCATCTCTACTAAAGATACAAAAAATCAGCCAGGTGTGGTGGTGTGCGCCCATAATCCCAGCTACTCAGGAGGCTGAGGCAGGAGAATCGCTTGAACCAGGGAGGCAGAGGTTGCAGTGAGCCAAGATCGCACCATTGCACTCCAGCCTGGGTGACAAGGCGAGATTCCGTCTCAAAAAACAAACAAAACAAAACACAGTGGATTTCAAAGACTTAGTACAAAAATGTAAAATTATCTCATTAATGTTTTTATCTTGATTAAATGTTAAAATGAGAATATTTTAAATATTTTAGGTTATATAATATATAGTTAAAATTAATTTCCTTTGTGTTAAATGAGGATATCGGAAAATTTTAAATTATATGTGACTTTCTCTGAATAGCAATAATCTAGGCTATAACTGCAATGTCTGGGGAGAATTAGAGAATAAGAAAGCCTAAATGGGGTTAACCTATGATAATTAAAGGTACAGAGACACTCTAAAATCAACATGGCAATAAGTGGAAATAGTGGGAACAGAGAAATTCTGGCTTAGTAAGGAGAAATCCATAAAATGAAGATGAAGGAGATTAATAAACCACTACTTATTAGACTATGACTAGCTATCTTTATAAATCATAAAATCAGAAATCATTTCATTCAATCCTCTCCTTTTACATGTACGAAAACTGAGCTATAAATAAGGATCCACAAATGTAGGGAAAACATCTTCATTCTATAGTATTTGTTTTGTGCTTTTTATTTAGATTCCTCCCACGTAACACCTGTAAATTATGAAGTGAGAAGAACTTTTACATGTTCCAACTCTGTGCCCTTGGAAAATTAACATCTCTGGGTTTCAGCTTATATAACTTAAAAATGCAAGCTTGGACTTAAGGTTCAAAATGACTTAAATATTCTATCATTTCTACTCAATATTCAGATATCATAAACAGTTGGCTAGTGACAGAAACTCAAAATATGCAATCAGATCTCAGATGTTACAGTAAAACAGAACCTGAGGAAGAAAATGCTGCTTTTTGCATACATAGGTAACATGAAATTATATAATAGCAGTCTGGTGCTGTATAAAATCCATCTAGTAAACAGTGGCCTCTTGTAAATTTTGCATTTATAGATTTTTTTCACCCTGAAACCTGTACTTTCCTCATAATCATTAAAGGATACTCTTCTTCCAACAACATTTTCTCAATAACAGCTCTGTTCTCTTCACTGATGGTGTTATCCAAGGTCCAAGGCTATTAAAAAAGAGAATATATTTGTCTTTTTATTTATTGCTTTTTGAAATTATCTTCTGTTTTGGTAAAGAAAAATACATGTTATAATGATTATAAATGACAGTCACCATTTACTGAGCACACAGACATATTTTTGATTACCACAGTAACATTGAGATAGGCATTAATACTTTACAGAAGCAACCACAGCACTACTAGCATTTTAAGTGGAAGAGCAGAGACTTTACACCTGAGTCTGTTGGATTCCCAGGCTCATGCTCCTGCCCAGGATGAGGTAATAATCGCCATTCAAAAAAGGAATCATTTGTTAGGCATCAGACACTCTGTCAGACACTTAACCTCTTTCCAAAACTCACCACTAACTCTCCTTTTTCCTCAGTTACAATCTCCATGATCCTACTCATTTTCAACGCTCCAAGTTAAGTATTTTCAGCTCATATCTCTTCTTCAAGCTCTAGGCCATAATACCCAACAGCCCATCCGAGATTTCTACTTGGATATCTAATTGGCTTCTAGAACTTAACATATCTAAAACAGAACTCACCATCACTTATCTCCACCTGCTTCTCCCTCTGCATTCCCAACTCTACGAAAGGCACTATTACTCACTAAGTTATTCCATGTAGAAATTCAGGAATCATTGTGGATTCTTTCCTTTTCCTTTGATGCCCATATCCAATCTATCAACCAGTTCTACCTCCAAAATATAATTCAAATCTATCTACTCTATCTCTTCTGCTACTACCTCAGGCCAAGTCCCAATCATCAAATCTTGCTTCCATTACCGTGAATGTTTCCTAACTGGTCCCTTTAACTCCACTCTTACTTCCCTCCAATCTTTACCACAGTACCCAAAATTAATTTTATAAAAATAAATTTGCTAATCTCTATTAAATCTATATGAAATGTTTCAATGATGTCCCAGTTCCTTTAAAACAAAATGTAAACCCTTTAGCATAATCCGACTCATAAGTCCTGCATGACAGAACTCTAGCCTGCCTCTCCAACCTTGCCACATGCTGCCACTCCTTCCTTTCCCACCATATTCTAGACACTGGCCTTCAACCAGAGCTTCTGTAGTTGCTGTTCCTTCTGCCTATAATTTTATTTTAACTGTTCACATATCTACCCTTTTTCCCATCATTTTCAACTTAAATCTCACCTCCTCTGAGATTCCCTCACTGACAATTTAATCTAAACTAGGTTTCCCACTCTGGTACTCTCATTCAGCATCTTGCTTATTTCCTTCAAAATCTATTATTAGTTTGTCTACCTGTTTATTACTTAACTCCCTCTTAGAAAATAAACTTCTTGAGAGCAGGAACACGTCTGTCTTCATTGTAGTCGTATTCTCCAAGCCTGACCTACTGACTGGCACCGAGTAAGTACTCAATAAGTAACTACTACATGGCCGGGCGCGGTGGCTCACGCCTGTAATCCCACCACTTTGGGAGGCTGAGGCGGGCGGATCACGAGGTCAAGAGATCAAGGTCAGCTTGGCCAACATGGTGAAACCCCGCCTCTATGAAAAATACAAAAATTAGCTGGGCGGGGTGGCACACGCCTGTAGTCCCAGCTACTCGGGAGACTGAGGCAGGAGAATCACTTGAATGTGGGAGGCAGAGGTTGCAGTGAGCCGAGATCACGAAACTGCAGTTCAGCCTGGCGACAAAGAGACTGCATCTCAAAAAAAAAAAAAGTAACTACTACATGAAGAAATAAGCCCTGTGACAATCCCATTTTTTTTTTCTCTTTGAGACCGGGTCTCATTCTGTTGCCCAGGTTGGAGAGCAGTGGCACAATCAGAGCTCACTGCAATCTCAAACTCCTGGGCTCAAGGAATTCTCCTGCCTTGGCTTCTCAAAGCACTGGGATTATAGGCAGGAGCCACCTTGCCCACCTACCACTTTTTTAGGTGTAAAGAAACTGAAGTTCACAAATTTGAGAAGTGGTAGAGCAAAGACCTGTACCTAAATCTAGCTGGCTCCAAACCTGTTTCTCAACAGGCCATTTTTCAATGTCAAAAGAAAGAGGTTTCTATTTTTAAAGTAAAAAAAAATTCTAAATTTCTAAAAAAGAAAAATATTATATCTGTGATAGTTGAGAACTAGCACTAAGTTTAAAAAAAAAAAAAGAAGAAGCACTCTAGGCAATAAATAACAGCTTAATGCACCTGATATTTTTATAAAATACTTACAATAAGGCCATTCTCTGTTCTCCAAGATGAATCAAGATAGTGATCTTTTTGTAAAACTGATGCTGTATTTTCACCACTTCTGTAATAATTAAGAAAATGAGTATATAAGTGAAAATCATATTAGTTAATGAATGTAACTTACACAGCACAGAATCCAGCAGGTAGTAAGGGAACTAAGCAAATACTTAGTTCCCTTCTCCCCTTAACAAACAGATTTAACATTGTGGAAATGCCTGCTCTACCTCTTTGGCCTGTGAAACACGTGGTAGTGCTAAGCTACCCCATCTCAATTGTGAAACATCAAGTCTGACTGCTCACTTCTTTTGGTTCTCGAGAATAAACAATCTCATGAGGAAAACAATACCCCAAAGCAGCAATCACAACATGCTCTGTGACTTGAACCAACAATGCAGTTTCAGCTGATTAGTACCAGTACCCATGTGTATACAGGAATTCAACTTTGTGATTAAACCTTTTAGCTGTATCTAAATTATAAAAACCACCATCAATAGCACCACCTATAAAATGAAAGAAAAAAAAAAAACTAGATGAGAGAACCAAAACAGAAAATACTCAAAGAAGGACAGTACAGTGAATAGATAAGAAAAATGTGGTTTTAATAACAACTCATATAATTTAAAAAATTAATTTGATTTGGACGCTTTTCAATGTCCATGGGAGATCAAACTTTTTAAATTATCTCACTCGTTTCATTAAGCTCCTAAGAGCTCTTTAAAGTTACATTGTTTACCCCATATTTGAAAAGGCTGAGTAAGTTTTGGGGGGCTCAATCCATGATATAAATTTAATATTTTGCTTCGTTATTGACTTTTTCTAGACCTTGTCTAGTGATAAGAATTTTCCATCTCTAAGACTGCAAAAACCTTTCAACAGGCTTATAAATCTGAATCTTTAATTAGGCAGTAGTTATAATAAATTGTGGGGCTAATGAACTATTCTCTAAAAGCAATCATTTCTCTCAACTGTTGATGGTAAATAGATTTAATCTTAAATGTCAACTATGATCTGGAAGAGGCTACCAGGAAGGGTAAATAAAGGATTCTGAGACTTTTATCAGCTCAAAGAAACCTTTGCTCAAGTAACTAGGTCTGCCAAGAGTTCAGAAAATAGAACCACTATCATTTCAAATTCACTGTAGAAATCTTTTTATTCCTCAATAAGAAGAATCAGCAACACTCATACTCTGGTAGCTACTTCTGGATCTCTACCTGAATCTCCATAGGTACCACATATTAGCATGTTTAAAGCTTGAAATCACCTTTCCTCCCAAATCTGCTACTCTTCTATTGTTCACCATCTCACTCAGTGGCACCACCATCTCCGTAGTTATCCAAGCCAGAAATCCAAGCCTGACCATTTTCTTCACAACCCCCATTTAATCTGCCCTAATTCTGCTGTTTCTCCCATTTTCCAAATCCAGTCCTTCCAGTATTTTCATACTACCTCTGAGGTCCTGTAGTTTCCAATCTTATATAATTTTCCTGGATAAATGTAAAAGATAAAGCTGACAAACCATTCACCTCCCCTCCTTTATCTTTCTCCACCCATCTCCATCTGACATATATATAGGATTGCTGTCTATGTTATCTAACAAGAATGTTCTATGAGAGCACAGACTTGGTTTTGATACACTGTTGTATATCAGTGCATGGCATGTAGAAGGTACTCAATAAAAATTTGTTGGACTAAATGAACAAGGTAGGTAGGGCGTGGATCACTCAGATCTCTGGTAGTTAAAGAATGAGGATTTTATCAAAAAACCAACTGGGGAGTGAAGAGAATAATATGATCAGATCTGGATATAAGAAAGATTACTCTGACTTCAGACTAGAACAGAATGGGGCCAAGGAGACGAGGAGCAGTTAAGAGGGAGAGATTTTAAAAATACTAGAGAAAGGTGACAATAACTTATAGCTACAGGACAATGTGAACAGGAAGAAGTGAATACAGTTGAGAAGATATTTAGACAGAATCAACAGCCCTAAATAACTGATAGGGTAGAGGAGTAGAAGGAGGGAGGTAAGGAATGATGAAGTTTAGGTCTGTGCTTTGGGTGACTGGGTGTGTGTAGGTGCCATTTACTAAACTAGGGTACAGTGAAGAGATCTGGTGGGGAAAATTTATAAGGTGAAACTGAGGTGCTTGTGAGACATCCAGGTACAGATAGATTCAGAGAACTGGATAAATGGATCTGTCACTTAAGAGAGAGATCTGGGTTGGTAACAGATTCGGGAAACATCAGCTGGCAGGTCAAAAATGGTTTAACACTGGTAAAATTTCATATGGTTCAACCTAACAAAGAGAAGTTGAAGTCTTAAGAGGGACAGTGTGGTCAGTGAATCAAAGTCCAATGAGAAAACTCCTTGCAACACTAGGAGTAAAGAACATAAGAAAAGGAGAATGAGACAGAATGGTAGAAGTAGAAGAGAAACCAAAAAAAAATTTTTTTTTTTTTTTGAGATGGCGTTTTGCTCTTGTTGCCCAGGCTAGAGGGCAATGGCGCGATCTCGGCTCACTGCAACCTTCACCTCCCAGGGTCAAGCAATTCTCCTGCCTCAGCCTCCCTAGTAGCTGCAATTACAGGCAGGTGCCACCATGCCTGGCTAAGTTTGTATTTTTAGTAGAGACGGGGTTTCTCCATGTTGGTCAGGCTGATCTCGAACTCCCAACCTCAGGTGATCCGCCCGCCTTGGCCTCCCAAAGTGCTGGGATTACAGGCATGAGCCACCGCACCCAGCCAACCCAAAAGTTTCAATACCATCTTCTAACTTTGACATCTAGCACTTACCAAGTGCTTAAAAGTGTCTATTAAATTAATTCTCAACGGTTTCACAGATGCTATAATATCAACTGTAACTACATACTTCAGAGAGTACCATCACACTAAATTCCATACGGTTGGAGCTCCAACACCACTGGACACTATTTATCAGACTATATATATATATATATATTTTTTTTTTTTTTTTGAGACAGAGTCTCGCTCTGTTGCCCAGGCTGGAGTGCGGTGGCGTGATCTCCGCTCACTGCAAGCTCTGCCTCCCGGGTTCACGCCATTCTCCTGCCTCAGCCTCCCAAGTACCTGGGACTACAGGCGCCCACCACCACGCCCAGCTAATTTTTTGTATTTTTAGTAGAGATGGGGTTTCACCGTGTTAGCCAGGATGGTCTCGATCTCCTGACCTCGTGATCTGCCCGCCTCGGTCTCCCAAAGTGCTGGGATTACAGGCGTGAGCCACCATGCCTGGCCCAGAATATAATATTAATGATACTCCTTGGGGTTGTATAAGACAATAATTGTAACCATCATCAGGAACCAATAACCTTTGTAATCCTGCTTGTTACCACAAGTGCCACCAGTAGACCTAGGCCTCAACTAAAATAGGAAGAAAGAGAAAAGGGGAAAAATGAAACACAATCAGAAAGATAAATCTATGGAAGAAGCATACAGCCAATGCCCTCAGGTGACCAATCTTCAGTGTTTCCAAGGCCAGCTCATTTCTTTCTAGACTGCAGATAAGTATCCCTGCCAACCTATTTCATTAACTTGTTGCGAAAAGTAAATTAAATCAAACATGCAAAAGCACTTGGTCAAGATTTAAACACTAAATGAATGTCAACAAGTATTGTTATTAAGGGCTCCCTACTCATCTGCAAAGCTTTGAGGGACAATGACCATATGAGTTTAATCACCCCTCACGTCTTTATAGGGCTTTAGAGTTCATGATACACTTCTAAACACACTATCTTAGTGCCTCAAGCGCTGGGTTAGTACTTCTCCCCTGTTCACAGAGGCCCTAATATTAGGCTGAACTACATGAAGTTGCCGCTTTATAGAACAAAAATGGTCTAAATATTGGCAATTTCATATGGTTCAAGCTAATACAGTTCTAAGGAAATTGTACATAATTATAAACAACATAGCTGGCTGACTTTAGAACTCAGGCTTTCTGATTCCTGGCTAGTCTAGGACTCTTCATGACTAAAAGGAGACTCATTTTTGATTCAGAAAGCAAGGAGTCAAAGGAGGTTCTGTGTCAAATCACACTGGGCTGTTTGTTCTGCTGGAACAGGTATTTTAAAAAATGTGATCCCTTACTGGATTCTCACAGTACTGTCCCCGAGGGTAACAGGATGGTAAAGAATACATTCAGAGGGCACCTACCGTATGCTAAAGCATATCTCATAATCATTTCATTTGATCCTCCCAATTACATATCATGACTCCCAGTTTAAATATGAGCAGTCTGAGGCTCAGACAAGTTAAGTGTCTTGCCCAAGGTCACATTGCTATTAACTGGTAGGGCGAGCAAATGCAGAAGGAAAACCCAGAACTGTCCAACTCTAAAACCTGGCCCATTTAAGTCAACCTGCTTCTCGGGAAGTTTTACAACTATCCCCATGTGGAAGAAGGGATGAAACGACTCGCCCAAGGTCACACGGCTAGCAAGCCATAGAACAAGAGTCCCTGACCTCAGGTCTCGTCCGTAGCCGCTCTTGTTCTAGTTACTGTCGATGAGATCCTGAAAAGGAGGGAACGGAAGAAGGAATCTAAATGTAAATCAAACGCAATGTGGTAGGCGAAATCGGTGCCCTCACAGCATCCGGCAAAAGGTGAAAGCGACCCAGGAGTACCTGAGCTCCAGGTAACCGCCCTGCCCGCTGGGCTTGGGACAAGCCGGCGGGCGAGGTGCCTCCCAGGCCAACAAGAGACCCTGGCCCAGGGGACAGTCTTCTGTTCCCTTTTCCCTTGCCGGACCTGCAGCTTTCCCAGGGCCCGCTCCTTCAATCCACTCCCCTCTCCGCCCCAGAGAGACCCGGTCTCTAAGCCTCACCCTGGCTGTGCCCCCGCCGCCGCTACCACGTCCCCTTCGATATCCACATCCGCCTCTTCAGCCGCCATGATGGGACCTGACCCCGTCCGTCCTCCCGAGAGATCCCGCGAGACGAAGATGGCCCGGGGGCAGGGCCTAACGCGTCACGGGGCGGGATTGAAGCGTCGTCCGGCCCCTCCCGTGCCGGGAGGCGGGGTTTCCAGAGCAAAGGCGCCCCCAGAGGCCTGGGGCTTGGTCCTTTCTAACTTGTTGACATGTAGAGACCTTGGGAAGTGGCCCACGCCTGAGCTTTTTTTTTTTGAGAGGGAGTTTCACTCTTGTTGCCCAGGCTTGGGTGCAATGGCGCGTATCTCAGCTCACTGCAACCTCCACCTCCCGGGTTCAAGCGATTCTCCTGCCTCAGCCTCCCAAGTAGCTGGGATTACAGGCATGCGCCACCACGCCCGGCTAATTTTTGTATTTTTAGTAGATACAGGGTTTCACCATGTTGCCCAGCTGGTCTCGAACTCCCGACCTCCCGACCTCAGGTGATCCGCCCGCCTCGGCCTCCCAAAGCTCTGAGATTACAGGCGTGAGCCACCGCGCCCGGGCCCTCCTGAGCTTCTAAGAGCTTCTGTTCTTGCACACATTCTTTGGGACCTCACTGCTCTCACTGATAAAATGGGGATAACAGCAGTATCTTTCTGGACTGATGAAAAAGTCAAGCTAGACCCGCTTTGTGAACTGAAGGTTGCATACCTGCTGGTTATTTAAGTCTCTCTCTTTGTTTTTTAAAGAAAAGGGTCGTGCAGCACTTATGTGAAGTCGTTCAGCATTTCACCTAAGTGCTGAACAACTTTTATTTTAAAATTCAACAAATATTTAAGAATATAACTTATGATTGTGTAATTTATTTTGTAGACGTCTTTGCAATTTAAAAATCACGCTCATGACCATTAATCCTTACAGTGTCCCAGTGAGGTAGGCAGAGCTAATATCACCAGTTATACTTTACAGGTGAGGTAACTGAGGCCTGGAGAGCTGAAATGACTGTCCAAGGACAGGTAGCTTCAAAGACAGAGCCAGGAGTAGAATCCAGGCTTTGTTGACCCTCTACTGAGTGCTCACCATGTAACAATCATGTTGTTAGAAATTGGAGGATAAACACCACTTCTGTCTAGTTTATAGTTTCTCAAGAAATTAGATACTGACAGCCAGATGCGGTGGCTCACACCTGTAATCCCAGCACTTTGGGAGGCCAGGGAGGGCGGATCACAAGGTCAGGAGTTCGAGACCAGCCTGACCAACATGGTGAAACCCCGTTTCTACTAAAAATACAAAAATTAGCTGGGCGTAGTGGTGGGCAACTGTAGTCCCAGCTACTCAGGAGGCTGAGGCACAAGAATCGCTTGAACCCAGGAGGCAGAGGTTGCAGTGAGCCGAGATCACGCCATTGCATTCCAGCCTGGGTGACAGAGCGGGATTCCATCTCAAAAAAAAAGAAAAGAAAAAAAAACCCTTCTGCATTCCCCTGCCTTAGCAGCTATCACTCACACCTTGTAATTTTTCATCCGTCTGCCTTCTGCACTGGACTGTGAATTCCTTAAGGACAAAGACCACGTCTGCTAGTCCTTACACTACCAATATTCAGCATAGTGACACATAGCAGGTGCTCAATAACTATTGAACAGAGGAATGAATGAATTAATTAATTAATTAAATGACCTCACTTCTCACACTATTCCCAATTTGTCCCATCTCACCTTTGTTCTCAGGCTGCACTCTGAATATGATGGCAAAAGATGGAGAGAAAGAATTGCAAAGAGGGAGAGCCCAGTTCAGAAACCAAACACTGCTAGGGCCCATTCTCAGGCCACCATGGGAGTGCTGCTTCTGTTGTCAGTGGGCTTATCCAGTAACCAGTCCCACTGGTAACACCATGCCTGGAACAGAGTAGGCACTTAAAGATGTCTGTTGAATTTAATTTAGAGCAAAATTAGGGTTTCTTAAAAAGATGTAATGGGCTGGCCGGGCGCGGTGGCTCACACCTGTAATCCCAGCACTTTGGGAGGCCAAGGCGGGTGGATTACCAGGTCAGGAGATTGAGACCATCCTGGCTAACACGGTGAAACCCCGTCTGTACTAAAAATACAAAAGATTAGCTGGGCGTGTTGGTGGGCACCTGTAGTCCCAGGTACTCGGGAGGCTGAGGCAGGAGAATGGCGCGAACCCAGGAGGCGGAGCTTGCAGTGAACGGAGATCGCGCCACCACACTCCAGCCTGGGCGACAGAGCCAGAATCCGTCTCAAAAAAAAAAAAAAAAGATGTAATGGGCTAAATCATCAAAACAAATGTAAAATGGTATGCTTTTCACTGATTTTACATAGCAGGCAGGGATGGGGACCCTGGCAGGGCTGTCTGGATATACATGATATCAAATGAGAATGGTGCTTTCTAGAGCATAATGCAGAATACCATGTGAACAGCATCTCTGGCAATGCAGACGCAAAAATGTTTCTGGTCCAGTGCCAGATATCAGTAGGCATTAAAATATATGTGGAAGGAAAGGCCTGTACAGAATTCAGAGTTGCCCAATTCGTCTCAAAACCCCCCTGAACAGAGACACTAGCATAAAGCTTTCCCGTACACACCCCACACCCTGCACTGGGTCCACTGGCTTTATGTGAAACTGGCTCGTTAAGGGTCTAGGTCTAACTCCTTCCAACAGGATAGAGCTATGAGCTCACATGCAGATGAACTCCAGAGGCCTGGTCTACTATTTAAAATTCCCTCTAATCCTGCAACCCTAGGACTTGTTGAAAGACTCATTTCTCACCAAGTAGTTTGAAAGCAGAATGAATAATTCAGAATTAGTGTTTCATGAAACTTGTAGCATTCCTACTGTGCTTGGTACTGATGCATTGAATGAGATTGACTCAGTGTCTGCCCTCATAAAATCAATCAAATGTGCAATTTCAGGCCAGGCACTGTGGCTTATTCCTACAATCTCAACACTTTGGAAGGCTGAGGTGGGAGGATTGCTTGAGCCCAGGAGTTTAAGACCATCCCGAGCAGCATAGTGACACCTGTTTCTATAAAAAAATCAAATGAAACAATTAGCCGGGTGCAGTGGTGCATGCTAGTAGTCCCAGCTACTCAGGGTGGGGTGTGGGAAGGCTGAGGTAGGAAGATCACTTGAGCCTGAGAAGTAAAGCTCTCTAGCACAGGCAAGAGTGAGACCCTGTCTTAAAAAAAAAAAAAAAAAAAAAAAAAAAAAAAGGGCCGGGCGCGGTGGCTCACGCCTATAATCCCAACACTTTGGGAGGCCGAGGCGGGCAGATCACGAGGTCAAGAGATCAAGACCATCCTGGCCAACATGGTGAAACCCTGTCTCTATTAAAAGTATAAAAATTAGCTGGGCGTGGTGGCGGGTGCCTGTAGTCCCAGCTACTCGGGAGGCTGAGGCAGGAGAATCGCTTGAACCCGGGAGGCGGAGGTTGCAGTGAGCCAAGATCACGCCATTGCACTCTAGCCTGGGCGACAGAGCGAGACGCCATCTCAAAAAAAAAAAAAAAAAGGCAATTTCACAACAATGTAACAAGCTCCATGTCCATGTCTGCACGTCTACGTGTCCATGTAGCTCCACGTCTGCTACAGATGTGTGCTAAAAGAGTAATAATCATAATAATAAGCTTCATGATAGAGAACCTACAAACTGCTGTGGGATCTCCGAAGAGGGGCACTTAGCCCAGGATGAACCCTCTCCTTTACTGTACTTCTGAGGAAAACGTGGGTCAGTCAAAATTTGAAAGTACTGTCAGGCCTCTGAGCCCAAGCTAAGCTATCATATCCCCTGTGACCTGCACGCATATATCCAGATGGCCTGAAGCAACCGAAGAGCCACAAAAGAAGTGAAAATAGCCTTAACTGATGACATTCCACCATTGTGATTTATTTCTACCCCAATTGATCAACGTACTTTGTAATCTCCCCCACCGTTAAGAAGGTTCTTTATAATCTCCCCCACCCTTAAGAAGGTTCTTTGTAATTCTCCCCACCCTTGAAAATGTACTTTGTGAGATCCAACCCCTGCCCCCAAAACATTGCTCTTAACTCCACCGCCTATCCCAAAACCTAAAAGAACTAATGATAATCCCACCACCCTTTGCTGACTCTCTTTTCAGACTCAGCCCGCCTGCACCCAGATGAAATAAACAGCCTTGTTGCTGACACAAAGTCTGTTTGGTGGTCTCTTCACATGGATGCGTCAGACAAGTACCACTTTAGACCGTGGGAAATACAAAATAAAAACCCCTGTTTCTAACTTAAAGAAAGAAGCAATGGAAAAATACTAGAGGGCATAGTGCAATGCTGGGCACTCACACAGAGCCAGGAATAGTGTCTGCTCCCACTGGCCAGACTGAAAAAACCTCATGATTCAGGTAGACAATCTGAAGGGTGTGAAAGGAAAATAAACCTCGGGACCCCAAAATCACTAAGCCCAGGAAAAAGTCCAGCTGGGAACTATGTCAGGCAAACCTGCCTCCCACTTTATTCCTAAATAAGATAGCTGCAAAGATTAAAAAAAAAAAAAAAAGCTACATATCTCCTTCACAATTTGCGCACAAGGAAATTCCTTGTGGACCTCAAGATCTTTACCCAAAACAGTTCTGTTGAATTTCACCCTGGCAATGTAAATTGATAGCTCATCTTCATAGGTGGGACAGAAAGTCACCCTCTGCTCACCTGAGACAAAGGTATATCTGATTGCTTCCTCTGCCCTATTGTTAATGTAAAAATGCAGATTCACTGAGCCAGTCTATGTAAAAATGCAGATTCATTGAGCCAGTCTAAATTGTGTATTCAGTGAAAGGCTGAGCTAATTTAAAAGTGGGAATTGAGCTCATTCAAAAGAATGCAACCTTTTGTTTCTTATCTACCTAAGACCTGGAAGACCCCTCCCCCACCATGGCTGTCACAACTTCCAGACACATATTGATTGATGTCTCATATCTCCCTGAATGTATAAAAGCAAGCTATACCCCAACCACCTTGGGCACATGTTGTCAGGACATCCTGAGGCTGTGTCACGGGTGCGTCCTTAAACTCAGCAATATAAGTTTTCTAAATTGATTGAGACAGATATGTTGGATTCACAAAGGTATTGCCCAAGTAGTGGAGAATGCTTAGCTCTGGGTGAAGCACTGTTCTGCCACTGCCTAACAAATCTTAAGGACAAGACCTAAAAGGATCAAATTGTTTCCTGGTAACTTCACTGCATACCCCTTTTCTCCTAAAAGTACAAGGATATTTATAGGGATACAAAAATAGCTAGCACTAAACAAGGTAAAATTCACAATGCCTGGCATCCCATTACCAGGCATGCAAAGAAGTAGGAAAATACGACCCATAATGAGGGGAAAAAAATCCACTGAAACCCACCCAGTAGTGGCACAGATGTTAGAATTACTACACTGGGACATTAAGACAGTTTTTTTTTTTTTTTTTTTTTTTTTTTTAGATGGAGTCTCACTCTGTCGCCCAGGCTGGAGTGCAGTGGCGTGATCTTGGCTCACTGCAACCTCTGATTCTGAGGTTCAAGCGATTCTCCTACCTCAGCCTCCCGAGTGGCTGGGATTATAGGTGCCTGCCACCACACCCAGCTAAGTTTTCTATTTTTAGTAGAGATGGGGTTTCACTGTGTTGGCCAGGCTGGTCTTGAACTCCTGACCTCAGGTGATCCACCCACCTCAGACTCCCAAAGTGCTAGGATTACAGGCATAAGCCACCTTGCCCGGCCTAAAATACTTACTATAACTGTGTTCTATATGTTCAAAAAGTTAAATAGAGACATGGAAAATACAAAAATAATGAAATTGTTCTTCTAGAGATGAAAACTACAATGCCTGAGATGAAAATACACTGGATGGGACTAATGGCAGAGTAGAGGTTGTGGAAGAAAGGATTCGTGAACTTGAACACGTAACAAAATTAACAATCCAAAATTAAACACATGGAGAAATAAATAATATTAAAAATAAACAGAGAATCTCTGAGCTATAGGATAAATTCAGGCTTCCTCGTATATATGCAATTGGAGTCTCTGAAAAGCAGAGGGTGGGGAGGTCAGGAAAAATGTTTAAAGAAATGACTAAAAAAATTTTCAAATTTGAAGAAAACTACAAACTCACAGATCCTGAAAACTCAAGGAACCCCAAGCAGGAAAAAAATAAAAATGAAGAAAGAAAACCATACTATGGCCTATCATAATCAAATTCTCAAAACCAGTAACAAAGAGAAAACCTTACCAGAGGAAAAAAGGTAGCCAGGAGCGGTGGCTCACGCCGGTAATCCCAGCACTTTGGGAGGCCGAGGCAGGCGGACCACGAGGTCAAGAGATTGAGACCATCCTGGCCAACGTGGTAAAACTCCGTCTCTACTGAAAATACAAAAATTACCCAGGCGTGGTGGTGCGTGCCTGTAGTCCCAGCTACTCGGGAGGCTGAGGCAGGAGAATGGCGTGAACCCGGGAGGTGGAGGTTGCAGTGAGCTGAGATCACGCCACCGCACTCCAGCCTGGGCGACAGAGCCAGACTCCGTCTCAAAAAAAAAAAAGAAAGAAAGAAAGAAAAAAAGGCACATTACCTATAGAGGGAAAAAGATAAGAGTGACAGCAAATTTCATGTTGAGGAGAATGGAAGCAAGAAGAGGGTAAAGCAACATCTTTAAAGTACTGAAAGGAAAAAACAAATCAGCCACATGTGAATTCTATACCTCATTAAAAATATCTTTCAAAAATGAAGACAAAGTAAGGGCTTTTTAAAGATATGCAACATCTGAAAGAGTTCATTCTCAATCTACCTATACTACAAGAAATGTTGAAGGACATCTTTCAGGCAGAAGGAAATGTTATGAGATGGAAATCTAGATCTACATAAAAGAAGAGAATAGGGAATTAGGTAACTACATGAGTACATATATAAGATTTTTTTCCTAATATTTAAATCTCTTTAAAAGAGAATTGACTGTTTAAACATAAATAACATAGTGTGAGATTTATAACATATATATGTCATAAATTATATATATACTTATATGGACTGTTCATATTGATGTGAGCTTTGTGGCAGTTAAGATTCTAAAAGCAAGGAACAATTTGACTATATGCAACAGTAATGTGAGGTCCAGGAAGGAAGAAATTGCAAGGAAGAAATTACAATGCTATATTGTAAAGTTCGTATACTATACAAGTAGTGATATAATATCACTTAAATGAGCTATTATTGTGATATGTTAAAAATATGTAGTATAGCCAGGTGCGGTGGCTCATGCCTGTACTCTCAGCACTTTGGGAGGCCGAGACAGGTGGATCACAAGGTCAGGAGATCGAGACCATCCTGGCTAGCCGGGTGAAACCCTGTCTCTACTAAAAATACAAAAAATTAGCTAGGCGTGGTGGCTGGTGCCTGTAGTCCCAGCTACTGGGGAGGCTGAGGCAGGAGAATGACATGAACTCGGGAGGCGGAGCTTGCAGTGAGCCAAGATCGCGCCACTGCACTCCAGCCTGGGCGACAGAGCGAGACTCCAGCTCAAAAAAAAAAAAAAAAAAAGTAGTATAAACACTAATACAATCAGTAAAATAAAACAAAGTTTGAATGTTAACCATAAAAACATATTAATATATTAATTACTTCTATTGTTATTTTTTAAAGCAATAAAAAGGGGTTCGGAGGGGTTGCTAACTTGCTAAAGGACATAGAACTAGGAATCAATGGAGCAGGAATTCAAACCAAAGCCAATTTCAAAACATAAAAACATATTAATATATTACTTCTATTATTATTTTTTAAAGCAATAAAAAGGGGTTGGGAGGGGTTGCTAACTTGCTAAAGGACATAGAACTAGGAATTAATGGAGCAAGAGTTCAAACCAAAGCCAATTTCAAAGCTAATGTTATTTTTTCCCACACCAGACTGTCATGTGTGTGTGTGTGTGTGTGTGTGTGTGTGTGTGTGTGTGTATAAACAATTTTTCGGCTCTTAGGTCTGTAGAGAGTTGACCCTCAGAACTTGTGAATACAAAACAACAGATTGTCTTCAGAGTTAAAAGGTGAGATCACCTCATCAGAGCAGAGCTATCCAAGTAAACAAATAAATGGAAAGACATTCAGGCCCAAATGAATTCACACGTCTAAGTTCACAGTGGTAAATGCTGTCAATGCACTTCCAAGCAATGTCCAAGGAGTAGGAAGCTGTAGTGTTACAAATTTCTGGTTCTAGTGTGGAGGAAGATTCTAATATTTTCCATCCCATTAGCCAGACCACCTATACTATGACAAGATAAACTCTGTGAAAGAATGGACTTTGTTTTGTTTATTTCTTCATTCCTACGGTCCACAGCAGTGCTGGCTGTATAGTGGGCACTCAATAAATATTCGTTGAATAAATGGTTCCAGAAGGCCATGACTAATAGCATGAATCCATTACACTGGAAATATACATTATTGTTAACTATAGCTACCTACTCTGATATTGAACATTAGAGTTTATTCCCTTTGTCTAACTGGATGTTTGTACCTATTGACCAACCTCTCTTCATCTCCCTGCCCCACATACCTGTCTATAGGCTTTTTAAGTATGCTCCAGGCAACCTTCCCACTTTATACCTAGTCACATCACTTTTTACTAATTTTGTACACAGAACCAAGGGCAAAATGCCAAATCCAAGTGAGGTACCTCCACAGTTTAACATTATGTTAAAAGGAACGTTTTCAGATGATCATACATTTTTCTCATCAAAATGAACTTTTTATTCCTAGTCCCCTTAAAAAGAGAATTGTATATTTAAAAATACATAACACTTACATAGGAAAGAACATTTTTATGCTTTATGGTACTCTGCTTTCCTGCAAACTGAATTAATGTCAGAATAATTTTAGACTGGAAGAGGAGGAAGAAGAGTTATAAACAGAAAGGGAGGGTCAGGGCTAATATGATCACCTGTCCTATCCCAGATATTGTGTAAGGCAGAATCTTCCTTGGACCTCCCAGGAATCCTGCCAAGTAAGTAGTATTGCCCCCATTTTAGAGGTGAGGATAACAAGAGTCAGAGAGTTACCACAGCTGGTAACTATCAGAGCTGGGACTCCTACCCAAGTCTTTCTGACTCTACATTTACTGTATTATATTTTCATACTACAACAGAAAGAATATGGTATTTTGCAATATTATGTGAGCTGGTATTTTCTCATTTTGTTTAAGAATAAATTATAAGTGGACAATTTTCTGACTTGTTCAAGGTGCTTCATCTAGAAATAAGTAGAAAGTATATTTTAAAGGTTGGAACTTTGTCTTCAGTTTTACAAGTTCCTTTTCTGCCACCATCAATACATTCTATTTCCTTTGTTGATCCTAAAACAAAATTAACAGGAGATGTCATACTGTAAATCCTCATGGATGTTGTTAGAGGAACATTCAGTCAATAAAGGGTCTGTCTCATATTTCTACTACATTATGTTTGAATCCATTGGGAAGGCTGCCTATTTATTTCTTGTTTTCTCCCATTTTGAGTAAAAAAAAAAAAGATCACTGTATTTTTATTGAAAAAGGAAAGTATAATTGCAATATTAATCCATAAAAAGCTGGCATGTTAGCATTCATGCTAATTAGCTCAGATTTGTAACATGCTTTCAAAGCAGGAAGTGTCATACAACTGCTCCTAATGTTATTATTATGTTATGATCCAAACTGTCAGCTAAATGATTGCCAGGGATTCAAAGAGTTTCCATTTTAAAAATACAATAGCTAGTGGGCAGGGAGGAAAACCACTTTATCTATATAGAGGTGAGATAATAGATGGATGCAGACATAAACTTATGGGTTACACTTGGCAGGCATTGGGTATGGCTTGAATTGTTCCAGGAAAGCAAGCTGCATTTTATTTTCTTTTCCCTCCCCAATTCCCTGAAATCACATAAGGTAGCTACTGAAAAAGCTGTTCTCAATATGTTGTAAGGAAAGTCTGCCAATGCACTTCTTACATTTTAATTACAGTAATGCTATATCCATCTGACATTATCTGAAAGGGAAAGAAGGAATGCCAGCATTAATGAGCTCCTACTGTGTGCCAGGCATTTTACATACATTATTTCTTTCCAGCCAGACAACAGCCCTTTGAAGTAGATATTGTTATTTCCGTTTACAGATGTGGTAACCGAGGCTCAGAATAGTTAAGCAATTTACCCAAGGTAATGTAACTTATCATCTTTTCAATTACATCATGCAGTCTTAGGTTAGGTACCAACAGCATCATTCAGACTTACACCTTTTCTTCTCAGCGACCCCCGTGGAAAAATTATACCTCTTTCCCAATAGCTCCAGGTGGATGGGTATGGTTGACCAGGCCTGGATCTCATGCCATTCCTGATGCCAGATGGACTCAGTTCCACGAGGGCCACCTGAAAAAAGAAGGAATGGTAGCTTCCTAAGCAAAATAAGAGGGCTATTTTCAGAGAGGAGAAAAGGATGTCAGGCAGGCAGAATGACAGATGCCCACTAGACTGTTCTGTGTTGTATAATTCCCCTGTGTTCCCCCAAGCCTTTAGTGCAATCTATTAACCACTGCAGACTCATGTTAGTGTTACATCGGGCAAATTACTCAACCTCTTTAGACTTCTGATGGTTAAATGACCTATAAAATTATCTCTTCCAGGAGTAAAATTCTTTGATCATGTTTTTATTCATTTCACAGACATTTATTGAACATTGTTATAGGCAAAGCAGAAGAATGGGTGTGTGGGAATGCACATGGGTTTATATATGGTTGGCTGGTTAGTTAAGCATGAACTACCATCAAAATATACCCTCTGCCTGACATCCCTACCACTTCCCCTACTCGCAGCCCATCCCCATTCACAGGGCTTCCTCCCTCCTGCTAAAAGTGCTGGTTCTGACTCAGCTCTGGCCTACTGTTGCCATTCTGGAACTCTGGCTCAGAGTTGCTGGATCTTCTGAGTTTTTTAAGAGAAGTCAGAAATAAAGATTAATTTGTGAAAACCAGTTTAAATTTTTTAAAGACATTGTTGAATCAAACAAACACTTAAATGGGCTACATCTGACCTGCAGTTTGTGCCGATTGGTCTGTGTCCTTCTCTCATTCCACAGGTAATGCTTCAGTGTTCTTATTTTCTGATAGATCTGTCTGGCCCACAGTTACCAGCTTCTTCTTTTTTTTTTTTTTTTTTTTTTTTTTTTTGAGACAGTCTCACTGTGTCACTCAGGCTGGAATGCAGTGGTGCAATCTTGACTCAGTGCAAACTCCACCTCCCGTGTTCAAGTGATTCTCCTGTCTCGGCCTCCCAAGTAGCTGGGTTACAGGTGCCTGCCACCAAGCCCAGCTAATTTTTGTATTTTTAGTAGAGACAGAGGTTTGCCATGTTGGTCAGGCTGGTCTCAAACTCCTGACCTCAGGTGATCCACCTGCCTCGGCCTCCCAAAGTGTTGGGATTACAGGCGTGAGCCACCACACCCAGCCATGAGCTTCTTAAGGGCAGGGAACACTCCTCTGTTCATTGTATCCACAGCACCTAGCACGACACACAGTAGGCACTTAATAATTGTTTGTTGAATGAGTGAAGGAATCAACTGGAAAGAATAAGGCCAGGATTTAAAAAATTAAAAACAGAAACCTTACTTTATAAACACACAATCAATGGATACTTTAGATGAGAAAAACTATGGATAGATAAGATTTTAAAAGCAACTGACAGCTTACACCCATTAGAATGGCTACTCTCAAAAAAACCAAAAAAAAAAAAACAAGTGTTGGATAGACTGTGAAGAGATTACAACTTTTGTGCATTAGTGGCAATATAAAATAATGCAGCTACTATGGAAAATAGTATCGTGGTTCCTCAAAAAAATTAAAAATAGAATTACCATATAATCCAGCAATTCCACTTCTGGGTATATGTCCAAAAAATTGAAAGCAAGAACTTAAAGAGATATTTGTGCACCAGTGTTCACAGCAGCATTATTCACAATAGCCAAAAGGTGGAAGCAATCCAATTATCTCTTAATGGATGAAGGGATAAACAAAATGTGGCATATACATACAATGGAATATTATTTAGTCTTAAAAGGAAAGGGAATTCTGACATATGCTTCAATGTGAATAAACCCTGAGAACATTGTGCTAAGTGAAACAGCACAATCACAAAAGGACAAGTAACGTGTGGTTCCACTTATATAAGCTACCTAGTGTTGTCAAACTCCTAGAGACAGAAAACAGAATTATGGTTCAGGGGCAGGAGTAGAGAGAAATGGGGAGTTAGTTTTAATGGTTACAGAGCTTCAGTTTTGTAAGATGAAAAGAATCCTGTGGATGATGGTGATGGTAGCATAACAATGTGACTGTGCTTAATGCCGCTGAACTGTATACTTAAAATGGATAAAGCTGATACATTTTATGTTATGGCTATTTTATCATAATTAAAAACAAGTAAAAATAAAGACAAGAAATTGGAGCATGATTTTGATAAAAATACAAAACCTCACAGAGAAGGGGAAAATTGTTAACATAAATAGAGTCCCAAAGCCCCTTCCCATTAATGAGGGAGAGATCTATGAAGTTCTAGTGCCTGTTTAGAGTCTCTACTTTTGGGGGAAATGAAGGGCGACAGAAGGCAAATAACTAAGTTTAGGAAAACAGCTCATTCTGTATTGATTCTAAAGGACTTTTGAAGAATATAAACCTGTGCTGTCTCCCATTTCTATAGCTCATGCATGGTAGAATATATGCATACACACACACAAAAAGAATGCATGAGCACAAAACCTAGTCTAGCCCTTCTCTTTATTGTCTAGGTAGTTCCCTTTCTGCAAGAAAAGTCAGCTTTAGAGTAGTCTCCTCACTTAATATCTTTCTAACGAGCCACACCCTCCCTCCTCTGTGACCCTACAGCCACTGTGCATGCTTGTGTTAGAGTGCTCATCGCTCTGAATATCGTCTGTGGCCCTGCCTGAGTCCACACTTGCCTAGGAGCTCCTTGAAAACAAAGACTATGTCTAAATTATTCATGCTGGCCCTTTGTAGGTGCCCAATCAGTGTTTGGGGAATGGATGACTGACACACCATCTACATTATGAAGCACATTGTTACCTCCAGAGCGTCAAGATACTCAATTCAATTTTGTAAGTGTTTATTGAGCACCCACTATGTGCCAGACACTGTTCTGGAAGTTTGGGATAAACCAATGAATAAAAATCACAATGTTTCCTACCGTGGTGGAGCTCACATTCCTAGCAGAGGGGAAAGAAAATAAAAAAGAGACATAATAATTTAATTATACATTTATTAGAGGTGATTGAGTGCCAGAAAAAAAAAAAAGAAAGAAAAGGAACAGGCTAAGGAGAGAAGGAGTTTATGGTGGTTGAGGGCTATAGGTTCTAAATAGGGAATTCAGGGTAGGCCTTATTGGAAAGGTGACATAAGGTCAGCCTTGAAAAGGTGAAAGAGTGGCTGGGCACAGTGGCTCATGTCTGTAATCACAGCACTTTGGGAGGCCGAGGTAGGTGGATCACCTGAGGTCAGGAGTTTGTGACCAGCCTGGCCAACGTGATGAAACCTTATGTCTACTAAAAATACAAAAATTAGCTGGGTGTGGTGGCACACACCTGTAGTCCCAGCTACTCAGGAAGCTGAGGCAGGAGAATTGCTTGAACCCAGGAGGCAGAGGTTGCAGTGAGCCAAGATTGCACCACTGCACTCCAGCCTGGACAACAGAGTGAGACTCTGTCACAAAAAAGAAAAGAAAAGGTGAAGGAGTTTGCCAAGCCAATGGAGTGAGACTCTGTCTCAAAGAAGAAAGAAAGAAAAGAAAAGAAAAGAAAAAAAAGAAAGAAAAGAAAAGAAAAGAAAAAGAAAAGGTGAAGGAGTTTGCCAAGCTGATAATGGAAGAAAGAGCTCCAAGTGAAAAAAAAACAGCCAGTGCAAAGATTCCAAGCTGGAATGTGCCTGGTGGAGGCCAGGGAGGTGGAGAGAAGTGTGCAACAATGGGGGCAGTAGGAGAGGAAGACAGACAGGCAACAGGGTCATATGTGGTGGGGCTTTACTGTCATTGTAAGGACATTAGCTTTTGTTCTGAGTGAATCGGGGAGTTATTGTAGGGATCCAGTGAGATTAAATACAGATTTTAGCAATGTGATTTCACTGAAATTTACTTTGGATTGGTGTATGTATGGAGCGGTCAGTAATATGATATATGTGATTTTGGGAGGAGGTCTGATTTTTTAAGAAAAAAATCCCACCAACTACAACTGATAATTTTATTAAAATAATTCCTTTTCCCCATGATCACAAATGATCACATCTTTATCAATGTCAACTGTTTTCAGCTGCCTGACTTATTTTCCCTTTATTTATACTGGATTTCTTTCCATTATAAGGTTTCATTTGAACAGTCAATCAACTGCTTGAGAAATAGACTCACTGCTATAACATTACCCATTCATTTAAAACTTGAATTTTCACTCCATTGAGAGATCCTAAGACTGTAGCTGTGTGCTAGTTACTATGCTGGATAGCCACTGAGGTGAACAAGACCCTGTCATCACTGCTAAGGAGTTCATGCTCAATATATAAACTATTTATCATCAATGCAACAAGACAAATGCTGTGTGAGAGAGGTCGGTACTTGGCAGCTTGGAGGTCTTATGGGGCACAGTTAACCCTGTGCATGTTAGGAAAGTGACCTCTTGTGCAACACCTCTCATCATCTCAGCACACCTTTTACTCCAGCTATTGCCATGGCAACAAGCTTCACACAAGTGCAAACTGACAGCACCGTGCATCTCTCCCTTTCTGCATCAGGGCTCCTCAGGCTCAAGCACAACCTGGAAAAACGAAGGTGTTAATGTTCCATGAGGCAACTGATGACCAATGGGGAGCAGGAGCTGGTGAATGAATGTTCCCTTCATCCATCCTGCAGGTAACAGTTCTGAAGTCCATCCTTTGCAGATCCTCAAGTGGTCCATGTTTGGTGGAGCTCCAGTGGCCCACAGAAGGGAACAACTCAGTATTTATTTTATATTGACTCTCTCCCCTTCACTGTTTCCCTCTTTTCCAGTCCTGCTCCATAAGCCTTGGGATCACTTCCTAAATAAATCATGATCTTCAAGCCCTATCTCAGGTTCTGCTTTCCTGGGGAAGTCCCAAATTAAGACAGTAGTGTTTGACCTGGGTTTTGAAAATTGAGCATGAGTTTTTTAAGTGGAGAAATAGAGATAGAGAAAGAACATTCCAGGCAAAGGGAGAAACATGAGCAAAGGTCAGTGGGCATGAACGGTACAGAATGTGTTTAGGGATTAGCAGTAATATACTGTGGCTGAAGCATGGGG
Organism: Homo sapiens; assembly: GCF_000001405.40. Classification (NCBI taxonomy): domain Eukaryota; kingdom Metazoa; phylum Chordata; class Mammalia; order Primates; family Hominidae; genus Homo; species Homo sapiens. Next base: position 58,715,359 of record NC_000001.11, read on the forward strand.
TATACAGAGAGTCTGAGGAGGAGATTACTGGTGGGAAGTTTTGTTGGTTGAGAAACACCTATCAGATATACTGAGCTAAGAATACTGGAAAAATGTTCACCCAAAATTATGTTTGTTGTTTGCTTTCCTCTCGAGCTTCTACATTGTTCTTCATCTCTGGGAAATCAGTGACCCATGGACTGGACAATAACTTTGAGCCATGCAGTCAAAATAAAATGGAATATTTAAGTGAAAGATCAGGTTCTGGAAAATAAAACTGCTCGTAGCTGCATATTATCTACCGGTGAGTAAAACAAGTTTACTGCCACCATCTTAGTGTGACTAAAAGAGGGAGATCCTAAAGAATTTCAAGGAAATAAAGAAAAGTAAATGGAAATGGATTGTGTAATATTCGTTATTATTGATTAAATTTATAAAATAGCAGTGCATTTTTATTGTTTTATTAATGCAAACAAAAAATTTTATAAGAGCTTTTGTATAATCATTCCTTACTTCACTACCTTATTTACTCTTAAGGACTTAACTACAAATACTCTCGCAAGGAGGGTGGTGCTTTTGGGTTTGAACGGGAATTTCAAACCTCTTTACTTTAGCATTGTCTGTCTCTTGTCTTATGTAATAACTGCCATATTTAATCAAACTTAAATTGCATTGTAATGGATAGTAAGTGACTCCATTATTTTATGTGCCCCTAAAAGACAAAAAAGGTCTGCCAATTATGTTTTGACACGGTGTCAATTGTAAGATGCATCCTAGTTCCAGAGATGTGAGAAAATATGTAGCTTAAAGTTATTTCTCCCACCTGATTTTGGGTTCTGAAGGCAGGGATCCGACTTGTTCAACTTTGGCTCTTTCTCACACTTGGTACAATTCTTCATACATATATGATTCATATGTGTTCAACAAATATTTGTTGAATTAAACTGAACAGGTCTGTATTAGTCTGCTCTTGCATTGTAATAAAGAGCTACCTGAGACTGGGTAATTTATGAAGAAAAGTGGTTTAATTGGCTCACATTTCCACAGGCAGTATAGGAAGCATGAATGAGGAGGCCTCAGGAAACTTACAATCATGGCAGAAAGTGAAACGGAAGCAGGCACATCTTACATGGCTGCAGTAGGAGGAAGGTGGGGGTGGGAAGGTGCTGCACACTTTTAAACAACCAGATCTCTTGATAATTCAGTCAACAGCCTGAGAACAGCACCCGGGATGGGGGGATGGCATTAAACCATTAGAAACTGCCCCTATGATCCAATCACCTCCCACCAGGCCCCACCTCCAACACTGAGGATTACAATTGAACATGAGATTTGGGTGGGGACACAGACTGCATCCAAGCCACATCAAGGTCTCTATCTTTACCTATTTTGACACAGCTCCTAATGTCCTACCTCAGACATAGGACATTTCATAGGATGAGAATCTCATCATCTATTTTAGAACCCTGCATAATATAATAAAATAGACCTACTAAGAGCATCAACAAAAATCTCATATTGCCATCTTTTTGTTTATTCTGACTTGAGGACTTAAAGTGTAGAAGGTCTTCCACAATGTGTTTTACGTATAAACTCCATGCCACAGGTTGTTTTCTATCACATTTATGAGAAAGCCAAGAACTGTTTTTAGAAAGTCATTGTTTAGGTAAAATATGATAGTAAAAATAATTTTGAAAGTACAGATATTGTGTTAATTATTTACATATGAGGGTGTGTTTTGAAGGCCACATGCTGTCCCTAACTGTTCTAACCCTTCGAGGGATTTACTTTGGAAGAAAAAACTGGACATCAAGGAATTATTCATATACATTTTCTGTGTTTTCATTTAAGATGGGAAGGGATTTTTCAAGGTTTTCCACGCTTTTATTTGATTTAATTTCATGCTCACTGAAGCCCATTTCCATCACAGTCACCAACACCTTGAACTTGCTGTGATTTTCCCCTGTTAAGCAGCCCAGATGAGATTCAGTGAGATTCTTGGCTTCTAGGCCCCATGTCTTGGAAACAGACCTCACTGCATCAGTGAAGATTCCAGGGCATTCTTCTTACTGATCCGACTAAGCCTTTGAAAATATAATATGACCACTTGGATTTTTCAGCATTAGCTTGAATCTGGCATAAAAGGAGCCAGAGATGTTGGAAGGCTCTGTCGCCTGGGGGTGCAGTGGTTACACCTCATTAGCCCCAGAGCAAGGGCCCCTTTCCCCTTTTTCCTTGGGCCTCTGTATCTTCCCATCCTGGCCTGGGGCTGAGACTGCCTGGGCCTGGGGGAGGGAGCACAGAGTCATCTGAGGCCCTTCCCAGGACAGCCTGTAGACCCACACCCACCCTTACATTCTACAGCAGGGATTTCATCTTTATTTCCATTTTGTCTGATCACGGCTTGTTCTAATTTAAGAACTTAGGTGGATTCTCAGAAAGAAAAAGGTGATGTTCACTGGCATGAACAGTGAATGGTGGAGTGGAACGTGAACAGGCTGGAGCTCTGGCTGTGCCATTTATTAGCCATGTGCCTTTAGAAGGTCCTCATCTTCTCCAGCCTCAGTTTCACCATCTGTAATGGTAGGTAAGAACCTCTACTTCAGAAGGCTGTTGGAAAGACGAAATGGTATGAGACAAAATGAAATAATGACATCCTAAGTGGAAAGGGCTCGCCTGGGGTCTGGTTAACAAGTATCACTGCCTCAGGTAACAGTCTTTCTCAGCAGTGCTGCATACAAACCTCCTCTGGCTTTGACCTTAACAGCCATTGTAGGTCAGTGTTCATAGCAGCCCCCACTCAAGTGAGGGTCCAGCTCTGCAATGAGTTGTGCCTAAGAAGGTCACAGGGGACCAGCCCCTGCTGTGTAGCGCAGGGAGGAGGGCTCTGTCATTTCTGGCCATCATGGCCCTTTGCAGTCAGCCTCAGCCTGAGATAAATATCACACTCTTGCATCTCACTTTATATCTGAGATCATCTGGCCCTGCCCACATCCTCCTCTGCTAAATGAGTAGAACAGACGGACTCTAAAGCTGCAGAATGATTTTAAAAATAAATAAAACCAAATAACAACTTGAGTCTAATGATTTCCCTTCAGGTTGTGCAAGCAGGAAAGTTTAAAATCACATAAGAATGACTTGAGGGAAAAGAACACCCCTTTCTGCTCCCGGTAAACACAATCAGCTTTGCTGGTCTGGGTTTTTTAATGATCTGCATTTACAGGAGTATCCATGACCCAGAGAGAGTATCAGTGTCAAGAATCTGCCAGTGAGAAAGTGATTTGAAGCAGCTCTGGAGTTCAGATGGCCACGGGTGCAAGTGCCTGCTCTGGTGTGCTTTGCCTCTGGAAAGATGCCAAGTCTTTGAGAATCTTTGCTGCATCAGCCATGCTACATCCTGAGGACTTGGAGGTGAGGAAATCCTGTGTGCACTTGTTTCCTTCCCTTCAAATGATATATCCCAGAAAAATGGCAAGCTCTCTGCTTACTAACTCTTTTCTTTTTCTTTAGTTCCCCCTTAGCTTTCTCTCTCCTTTCTTCCGTCTTTCTCTTGCCTCCTTTCATTTTTGGTAAAATCCAAAGCGAAATGTCAACTCAGAGGACATAGCTGTTTGTCTTCACCACCTACAAACTGTATTTCCTGGATCAAGCCGCTTAACTCCATTGAACTGTTTTTAGCATCCTGAAAATGGGGAATCACACTTTCCACTTATCCAAGCATTTGCTCATTCGTTTATTAATAATGTAACACCCTTGAATGCCAGGCCCTGAACTGAAGATATGGTCCTGACCCACTGGGTAGTCACAGGAGAGTGGAGAATAATGCTTCATTTGCTATGTTGCTTCAAGAATTACATAAAATAAGGCAGTTAAAAATATTTTGTGAACCAAATAGTGCATTATGAAAAGATATTAACACTTCTTACTTTCTTATAGCAATTTCTAAATGATTTAATTTCTGCCATCAAAATATCCCCCTTGTGTTGATCTAAACCATCAGATTGCAAGGTAAAGCCCTGATGTAACTGATGAGATGAAGAACACTGTATGGCCATTATTTTAGGTACGATAAACATTTGACTTCTCTTACAGAGACCTAAGGAAAATGACTTAAATAGGGTAGAAATGTCTTTCTCATGTAACAAGCCATGCATTAGCAGACCAGGGCTAGTGTGACAGTTCCTCCATGGGTCACTGTGTGGTTCATTAAGGTGTTGTCCTCCTTGGCATGACCCACGATGGCTGCCAGTGTAACAGCTGAATGTCAACCAGCAAGACAGAGGTGAGGGGTGGGGAGGAGGGCATGCCTCTTCCCTCTGAGAAATTGCCCACCTACTTCTGTTTATGTCCCATGAGCCAAAATTTAGAATTAGGTGTCTCCACCTAGCTTCAGGGAGGCTTGGGAACTGAAGTCTTTATCCTGGGCATTCTAGCATACCCTACATCCAATCTGTCAAAGTTGCATTTAGAATCCAGCCCCTTCTCACCACCTTTACTTCTTTCATGGCGGTCCAAGCCACTTTCACTGGATGACGGCAGTAGCCACCTAACTGGCTTCTCTGCTTCTTCTCTTGCCCTCCACTGAAATCTTTGCTCAGCGCACGTTGAATAATGACTCTTTTAGGATGTAAGCCAGATTTTTCAACTCCTCTGCTCAAACCCCTGCAATGGCTTGCTAGGCCCTGTGGGATTAGGCCTTTGCTACCTGTCCCTTCCTTCCATCCTCCCTCCTCCCTTGCTTACTCCACTCCAGCCACATCTGCTCCCTTCCTGGCCTCAGGAAGGCAGACATGCTGTTGGGTAGGGATTTTCATCGGTCGTTCCTTCAGCCTAAAAATTGTCCATTTCAGATATTCACAGGGCTCATTCCCTCGCCTCCTTCAAATCTTTCCTCAAATGTCACCTTCTTATAGAGGTCTATCATGACTTCTCTACTTAAAATGGCAAGACCTGCTTCCCAACTTTTGGCACTCCTAATCTGCCTTATCTTATTCTTTTTTTTTTTTTTTTTTTTTTCACAGCAGGGACATTTTCTAATATAGGTTTATACTTTACTTATTTACTATCTTTAGTGTGTGTGTGTGTGTGTGCCTCTTCCCTTGCTAGAATGACAGCTCCCTGAAGGCAAGGATTTTTTTTTCTTCCCTGATGTATCCCCAGTACCTAAAAGAGTGCCTGGTGTATAATAGATAATAAATATTTCTTGAATATAAGCTTGCATGAAGAGATGGAGCCGAATCCAGTTCTGATGACATCATTTGAGCTCTGGTTCCATGTGCCTAAAGCAAGAATTCTACACTTTTCAGTTCCATGGGTCAATAAATTTTCTTGTGTTTATTTATTTAATTGGAAGACTATTATTTAACTAAATCAATTAGAATTGGGTTTCTGATATCTGCAAGAGAAGAGCCCTGGCCTTCACAGGGAGCTAATATAAAGTCATAGAAGACCTCTCTGAGGAAGAAACATTTAAGCTGATGCCTGGAGGAGGAATGGGAACTAGTCATAGCAAGATTGTGGGGGCGGATGGCAAGATAGGACAGTGCAGGGAGAATATTCCAGGATGGTATCGTGGGAGCCCCAAGGCAGGCAGACATTGAAAGCTGGCCACCAAGGCTAGAATACAATGAATGAGCTGGAGAGTGGTGTGAGATGAAGCCAGGAGGTAGGCTGAGGCCAGATCACAGGGGCCCTAGGAATCACCAGGGAGGATTTTTAATGATATTCTTGGTGCAATGGAAAGCTATTTATGGGGCTTTAAGCAGAAGAGTGGCATATCTAGTATACTTTTCTCAAAGATCACTTTGGGTATTGGATGGCTAATAGACTGTGGTGTGTGTGTGTGTGTGTGTGTGTGTGTGTGTGTTTCGGGGAGACTATTGTGAAAGTGGGGAGAGCAGGGGTCCAGATGGGAAACAACAGTGTTTGGACATGGGTAGTGGCAATGGAGAGAACTAGATGAAATTGAGATATATTTTGGAGGTATAATCAACAGGCTTTGGTGACAGATTGGCTGTGGGGGTGAGGAAGAGGGAGGCAACAGGAATAACTCCTAGGTTTTCAGCTTGAGCAGTGCGAGGGATGCAGGTGCCGTTTGCTGAGATATGGAAGATTGGAGCAGGAGGAACGTCGGGAAGAAGCTCCTGGTCAGAGGCAGCCTGGCCTGGCACTAGGTGCTTCTTGGCAGAGCATCGGTGACACTTCCTGCCATAGTTAGACACTGACTTATCTTGAATGTGTTGGACAAGCAACTTGTTGCAGCACATTAAAATTCCTTTTCCATGAGGGAAAAGTAAGGACAACAGTCTATTTGCTCTATTTTTCTCTGCAGATAATTTGGTGGTAGTAAATTCTCTCAAAGTGAGAACACAGATGCAGCCAAGAGCTGGGCCATGCTGGGATCATGGTGTTGAGGGCAGCTCTTGCTCATGGAGCTGTATTTGAGTAATCGTTAGGGTGTTCCTTGATGGGGGGGTGGGGTTTCAGGATGTACCATCACATTGGGAACTGGGCTTGATGGCTTTTGAGGTCTTACCAGCCTTGGGGTTCTGTGATTCCACAGTTCAGCCATTGACAAGGTTTTCTTTTCTTTTTCTTTTCTTTTCTTTTTTTTTTTTTTTTTTTTTTTTTTTGAGGCCGAGTCTTGCTTTGTCGCCCAGGCTGGAGTGCAATGGTGGGATCTAGGCTCACGGCAACCTCTGCCTCCCGGGTTCAAGCAGTTCTCCTGCCTCAGCCTCCTGAGTAGCTGGGATTACAGGCACCAGCCACCATGCCCAGCTAATTTTTGTATTTTTAGTAGAGATGGGGTTTCACCAGTTTGGCCAGGCTGATCTTGAACTCCTGACCTCCAGTGGTCCACCCGCCTCAGCCTCCCAAAGTGCTGGGATTATAGGCATGAGCCACCGCGCCTGGCCGAGAAGGTGTTTTTAAAATAAACAAAAGGTTGATGATTGTGGGTTAGCAGAACTTACTAACATTAATGTCACTAAAGTTGGTATACAGCCCCCATCCACTGCTAAATTTGGCTGGCTTTTAAAAGAAAAATAAAATAAAATAAACAAAAGCTGGAAAGGATGAAGGAGGCCCTTGGATGAAACAAGTTACTAAGTGGGCTTTAATAATTCATTCATATTCTCAAAGTGACAATTTACTCTCTCAGGCCAGCCTAAGCTTTTGAGCCACCCCAGTAGGCTTATTCTCCTCCCTTCAGTATCAAAATATGAATACACAAATAACGGTTAAGATTTTACAGTAGCATAACATGTTTGGAATGTAAATTTGGGGCGAGGGAAAGGAAGAATATAAAGTTTGTTGCTGTTGGCACTTAAAAAGTGCAAGTTGTAGAGTCCGACAGACTGAAGTCTGAATATATACTCTGTCATGTGTAGCTGTGCGATCTTTAACAAATTACCTAGCCTCTCTGGGTCTCACTTTTCCAATATGTAAAATACAGGCATGTAGAGCTCAGTTCCTGCCTCATAGGATAGTTGTGAGGACCAACTGAGATCCTGGTGTGGAGGAAGAGGCCAGTCAACGTGAGCTACTATTTGGTGTTTTACAAGCACTTTAAAAACAGAAGTTAAAAAAAAAGTATTTTGATCACTCAGAGAGAATAGTGTTAACACTTTGAGCCTTTTTTAGATGTATTTTTTGTCCTGTACATTTGTATTACATAGTTATGGTTATATTGAATTTTGTATCCTGCTGTTAGAGTCAGCTCAGGCTGCTATGACAAGATACCACAGACTGGGTGGCTTAAACAACAGACTTACTTCTCACAGTTCTGAAGGCTGGAATGTCCGAGATCAAGGTGCTGGCAGATTCACTGTCTGGTGAGAGCCTGCTTCCTGCCTCATAGATGGTGCCTGCTTGTGGTGTCCTTACATGGCCTTTCCTCAGTGTGTGCTTGTGGAGAGAGAGGTGTCACTTTCTTGCTCTTCTTATAAGGGCACTAATCCCATCATGAGGGGCCCAGTCTCATGACTTAATTTAAACTCAATCACCTTCCAAAGGCCCCATCTGCTAATACCATCACATTAGGGGACTTCAACATAGGAATGTTGGGAGGATGCAAACATTCAGTTCACAACACCTATTTTTTGTCTTTTAATATTATTAGGCCATCAACATTCTTCCTATTTTTTCAGTTATGTCCCAAATAAAGGTCTTATTTTTTCATCACAACTTTATTAATATATAGTTCATATACCATAACTTTCACCCTTTAAGGCATACAAATCAACTTTAAAAAAATCATATTCACAGACTTGTGTAACCATCACCATCATCTAATTTTAGAACATCAGTTTCACCCCAAAAAGAAACCTCATCAGCTGTCACTCCTTTCCTTCTTCTCAACCTCTGGCAACCGCTAGTCAACTTTCTGTCTTCCTAGATTTTCCTATTCTGGATAGTTCATGTAAATGGAATCATATAATATGTAGTGCTTTGTAACTTCTTTCACTTAGCATCATGTTTTCAAGGTTCATCCATGTTGAGTACTTCATTCCTTTTTGTTGCCAAATAATACTCAATTGTATTACATTTTGTTTACCCATTCTTCAGTTGATGGACATTTGGGTTGTTTTCATTTTTTGGCTAGTATGAATAATGCTGCTATTATTTTAAATTCTGCATTCAAAATTTACTGAGTGGATGAATAAATTAAGGAAATGCAATTATCATACAAAATAGGCAGAAAATGCCATATCTGTAACCTTAACAGAATTTTCATTCTTTTTTTTGTCCTGAACAGCAAGAATAATTGGAAGTAGCACAGCGGTAACTGAAAGAAATAATAAAGGCCCAACAGAATTCAATAGAGCAGATGCACATTGTCGGCTTCAGGCTGACCAAGGAAATCAGAAGTTGTGTTTGAGTTTTGTACAGGTTATGATGGCAGTCTATGGGGCTTTGTTTACCAACTTGGCTTTGGTGGAAAGTTTTTGTCTTACTCTTTGTAATGTGCTTAATATAAGCCATTCATCGAAAGTGTCAAGAGAAACCAGCAAACTTACTAACCATGACTCTAATTCTTTTAGGTCATTTGTAAATTTGAGGAAATTAAACACATTATTAGCAATATGGGCAAGAATTGCTTATAAGCAAGGGCATAGGGCAAGTTAGGAATCGGCTTAACACTCGACCATTTACTTTGCTGTATGTCAGAGCTGGAAGCTTGGGGGTCTCCCTGAGGTGCCAGTCTCAATACTCCCCACTGGTTCTGAACCAGTTGAGTCAAAGAGAAGATAAACACACCAGATTTAGACTGACAAAAGTAGCCTCACCCTGAAGCAAAATTGGCTTCTTCATACTTAGCTACCTAGACACAGCTGGGCAAGCAGCCCTCCCCCAAGAAACAACCACCTGCCTCACAGAGCAGAAGGAAGAGAAAGCTCACAGGTCACAAAATGGGAAGGAAGGGTGGGCCATGTGGGAGCACCAGTTTGAATACCTTAACCCCAGCCGATATGGGATTGTAGACTAATGGAGGCTAAACTATTGTGAAACCATCCATCACTAATTAGTTAGCAAGAGGCAGGAGGACCAAAAATTTTATTCTAGCAGAATGCCCTGGCTTTCTACTGCTGCTTTACAAACCATTCCTAAACCAGTGGTTACCTAGACAGAGTACAATTTTCTCTCACAGTTCTGTTTAGCTGGGTGGTTCTCACTCAGGGTCTTTCATACAATTATAGTCAGAGATGGTGGCTGGCTCTGGAGTTTTCTGAATACTTCTTCACTTGTGCCTGGTATGTGGGCTGGGATGGCTGGTGTGCCAGGGCATCTCTTCTCCCATTGGCCTCCCTACTTTTCTAGCTTGGGCTTCTTCACAGCATGAAAGACTTAGACTAATCAGATTTTTTTTTTTTATGTGGCAGCTGACTTCCCCCATAGCTAATTTTTCTAGAGGCCCAGATGAAAGCTACAAGGTTTCTTACAAGCTGGCTTTGTAAGTCCCAGAACATGATTTCTATTACATTCTGTTGGTCAAGCAAGTCACTAACATTAGCTCAGACTCAAGGGGTGGAGAATTAGACTCCACTAGTCAGTGACAGGAATAGTAAAAAAATTACAGCCATGTTTAATTTACTTTACAGAAATGCCTTCATGAAAACATAAGGACAGGGGATAGCAGCTAACAATGCTTGAAATACTATATGTCAGGGACACATTGCATTATCATGTTCACTCTCACAAGAGCCCACAAGGTGAAGTGTCATTTTCCCCATTTTACAGGTGAGGAATCTGAGGCCCAGAGGTTAAGTTACTTGCTGGTCAATAGGTGGTAGAGAAAAACAAAAAACAAAAACACTGTTATGTCTGATTCCAAAGCCTTTATTATTTCTGCTATACCACACTATTATTCATCTATTATAAATCTCTCATTACACAGAAGAGAAAATTGCACCCCCTTAAATGCTTTTGAACTAGCAGACTTGGAAAACAGTAACTTTTATGACAGTTTCACTGGTTAAATATTTGCTCTGGTCCAATATTTCATAAGTTAATTTTGAGCAAAATCCATACTCTACGATATGGAGTTCCCTATTAGGTGGGAAAGGATGCTTTCAACCAGGACCTCATCAAGGGAGCTTTCCTGGAACCCAGAAGGAGATCCTATCACCCATCAGATTGCCAGAGGATGAAATTTCTTAGAAGCCCCTCTCACATCATGCTCCCCGGTTTTTCACTTAGAACACTATAGCACTCTTACTCCATCCTAGAATCAAATCCAAGCCCTTACATTAAATAAAACTCTTCATTAGTGCTTGTCAACTCTATAACACCCACTTGTAGTAATACACATTATACGTATCTCCTTTAAAAATCCTGAAATAGGCCAGGCGTGGTGGCTTATCCCTGCAATCCCAGCACTTTGGGAGGCTGAGGTGGGTGGATCACAAGGTCAGGAGATCGAGACCATCCTGGCCAACATGATCAAACCCCATCTCTCCTAAAAATACAAAAATTAGCTGGATGTGGTGGTGCATGCCTGTAATCCCAGATACTCAGGAGGCTGAGGCATGAGAATTGCTCAAACCCAGGAGGCAGAGGTTGCAGTGAGCCGAGATTGTGCCACTGCACTTCAGCCTGGCGACAGAGTGAGACTCCATCTCAAAAAAGAAAAGAAAAAAAAAATCCAGAAATAGAAATCATACTACTGACGCACCAAGCTCAAAGACAACCATGAAGGAAAAATCATGAAGAAGAAGCTAGAGGAGTGTATTTATAATAAAACAATATACATTTTAATAAGCAGATGCTGGAACACATCTATATTAGAAGAGATACATTACTAGTGGGTCTCAAATAATGATGAAGAACTAGTTAAAAAATTGTTTTATGATCTACTACTGTCCAATATATTTGTAAAATATAATGAAACTACTGTGGTAAAATGCAACGGCTACAGAGGTTACTCTTACTTCCTGTAGGTAACTGTCAGGGGACAGCTAACAGTTTGTAGACCTGTTTTGGTCTTGGATCCCACTTTGAGTGGCAATGCATCAGATCAATTAATGTTCACAGTAACCCTACCAGGTAGGTATTATTTGGAGTCTCCATATTATAGATGAGGAAATTGGGGCACTGAGAGATTAAATAACTTGCCTAAAGCTCAGATTCAGACTCAGGCATTTTGACACATTGCTAATGCTGGACTTCACAAACATACCTGTTACAGATACAAAGTAAGATTTGGTATCCCTGAGGTGTGCACAGTCTACTGGAAGAAACAAACAGAAAAATATTAGATTAATAATTTTGGATTTTGACAAAATGTTTGTCATCAAGTAAAAATTCAGGAGCAAGGCCATCAATCCACTGAAATCCCCCAAGACTCCAAAATCCCCCTCCAGGCAGCTTTTCAAGAATTTTCTCATTTTACCTCAATATGAATGCACAAATCTTTGAAACATCCAAATCTCCAGCTCTACCTCTGACTCTCGGTGAGCCCAAGTTTTGAAAAGGCCTGGGGTTTGGGAGAAATGATGCTAGTCATTCTCAAGTTTAGCATCTTTTTGAGAAAGAGTTGTGCCCTTTGTGAAGGAGTGTGGAGGGGATATGAGAAATTAATTGGCACATCTGTTCTCATGTCTGTTCATGAGCAGCTTGTGATCATAAACAACTCATTTAAGGGCATTGTCAGTCTCTCCCCAAGAGGTACCACCCCCATAACATTTGTGGACTGCACACTCTGGCATGTGAATCACCTTTTAGAATGAGTGACTGTTGACTCACCCTTCGGAGAGCTTCCTATTGAGCCAGTATTTGCCCTAAAGCCTTGGAAAGAGAACAAAACAACTTTTGAAGGAAATGAATACCATTCCTTTGTCAACTGTGAGACTGTCACAGCTAAAAATGGGCTTCACTTCCCGTGAACAACAGCACCCAAGTTTCTGCAGGCTGCTGAGGCTTAGACCTACCACGCTGGATAGGCAGCTTCCTGAATCTTTCCAGTAGTGCCACTCAGGGGACATTTATTGAGCACTTACTATATGCTAGGCACTATACAAAATAATTTACATATACTATTTCATTTTATTCTGAAAACAAATATAATATGAGGTAGATGTTATCATGATTTCCATTTTACAATTGATTTAAACTGAGGCACATAGTGGTTAAGAACTTGTCAAAAGTCTGAGAGCTGGAAGGTGGAAGAGCCAAAGTATTTGACTCCAAAGTGCTTGCTCACAAATACCGAGCCTTAGTGAGCATTAGACTCCAGGAAGGGGCCTCAAGAATCCAAGGGAGAGTCGGGAGCGGTGGCTCATGCCTGCAATCCCAGCACTTTGGGAGGCCGAGGCGGGCGGATCACGAGGTCAGGAGATCGAGACCATCCTGGCTAACACGGTGAAACCTCGTCTCTACTAAAAATACAAAAAATTAGCCGGGTGTGGTGGCGGGCGCCTGTAGTCCCAGCTACTCGGGAGGCTGAGGCAGGAGAATGGCCTGAACCCAGGAGGCGGAGCTTGCAGTGAGCTGAGATCCTGCCACTGCACTCCAGCCTGGGTGACACAGCGAGACTCCGTCTCAAAAAAAAAAAAAAAAAAAGAATCCAAGGGAGAATTCTCCTATATTTACTGAACAATTGCTTTGACCTCGGTCCCTACACTACGATGCACAAATATGATGCAGAGAATATGGCATCACACATGGTCCAAGGTCCTTGGACTTTCATCACCCTGTGATGGGGATTCAATGTCTCCTTACAGAGTTTGGGGAAGGAGCCACGAAATACTGTATGAAAAGCATCTCACTTAAGCCTGGTCTATGGCAGATACTCAACGTACATTATTCATCTGTCCTCTCCCACAACACTCATAAAAAACACAAGGAATGTGTAGTTGCACAAAGTAGATAGACACACATTCTATAAGCACAGTACTGAGGGAGGAAACAATGTAAAAAGTAGAGTTTTTGAGGCATACTTACAGATACCAATAGGATATTGAGCATCCACTGTGTGCCAGATATATATAAATATATATAGTGTGTGTATTATATACATAAGTATAATATATTATTAAATATGTGATAACAAATTATTATACATACTATACATGATAATATTTATTATGTATATAATACTTATTTTACATACATTTATATTATGTATCATATATACAATATTTCATATACAATAAAATATCATTATATATGTAACATATAATTTATGTACAATAAGATATTATAATGTATACTTAATATATAATATATACAATGATAGATTATTGGGTACACAATAATAGATTATTATAAATGCAATATATAACTATTACATATTACATATTATATATGATCATTATATATTATAATATATAACAGAAAACCTGTAATTATATATAACATATAATAATACATAATTATATAATATGTCATGCACTATAATATAATAATATATGATTATATAATATAAATTACATATATGTAATATATAATCAAAATTACATATTATATGTAATATATAATCAAAATTACATATTATATGTAATATATAATCAAAATTACATATTATATGTAATATATAATCTAAATTACATACTATATGTAATATATAATATGAATTACATATATTAATATATTATGCATTTCACATAAAATGATATATTAATAAATGATATAATATATAATAATATATAATATAATATTGCACATATTATATATTATACAGTATATGTACATATATGTACATATACTGTATAATGTATTGCATATAATGTGTATATATACTATATATTATATATTATATATGCGTCTGTATGTATAGTACACATATATTATATATGCGTCTGTATGTATAGTACACATATATTATATATGCGTCTGTATGTATAGTACACATATATTATATATGCGTCTGTATGTATAGTACACATATATTATATATGCGTCTGTATGTATAGTGCACATATATTATATATGCGTCTGTATGTATAGTACACATATATATGCGTCTATATGTATAGTACACATATATTATATATGCGTCTGTATGTATAGTACACATATATTATATATGCGTCTGTATGTATAGTACACATATATATGCGTCTGTATGTATAGTACACATATATTATATATGTGTCTGTATGTATAGTACACATATATTATATATGCGTCTGTATGTATAGTACACATATATGCGTCTATATGTATAGTACACATATATTATATATGCGTCTGTATGTATAGTACACATATATTATATATGCGTCTGTATGTATAGTACACATATATATGCATCTGTATGTATAGTACACATATATTATATATGCATCTGTATGTATAGTACACATATAATATATATGCGTCTGTATGTATAGTACACATATATATGCGTCTGTATGTATAGTACACATATATATGCCTATGTACGTATAGTACACATATATTATATATGCGTCTGTATGTATAGTACACATATATATGCGTCTGTATGTATAGTACACATATATATGCGTATGTATGTATAGTACACATATATTATATATGCGTATGTATGTATAGTATACATATATTATATATGCGTATGCATATATTTATATACATATATTATATATACATCTATACATATATTTGTGCATATATGTATACATATATATATATATGTATACATTTATTGGAGTCAAATACTTTGGCTCTTCCACCTTCCAGCTCTCTGAGTTTTAACAAGTTCTTAACCACTATGTGCCTCAGTTTAAATCAACTGTAAAATAGAAATATATATATTGTATATGTATACATATATTATATGTATATATAATATATAGTATATATGATAATATATTATATATGCAATATATAATATGTATATGTTATACATATTTACATATTATATGAATATATACTATATGATATATAGTATAGATACATATTATATGTGCGATATATACTATATAGTATATATACAACATGTATATTATATAGTATGTATACAATATGTTATATATGTAATTTTATACAATATATTATTACATATATGATATATAATTATGTAATATATATTTTTACATATATATGTTACAATGTATCATATATATTAACATATAATATAATGTAGTATATATTATGTTATGTATAATATAATATTACAATTGTATAATTATATAATAATTATATATCAATAATCATAATATCATTACATATCAATTATATAATCATACATATTATATATTGTATAACATATAATACAATGTTATTATAAAATATAATAATAATATATAACATATAATAAATGTTATATATGTAAGATATATTATATATTATACATTAATCCTTATACTGTACATATGTAGTGTATATGTAGTATATATGAATGATATGTTATATATTAATATTATATGTAACATATAACATTATATATTAACAGCATATAAGATTATATATTAATTTTATATATTATCATAACATATAACATATATGTAATATTACATGTTATCATGACATATATTATTATATATGGTATATTACATATAGAATAATGTGATATATAATATATGTAATAATGTATATTTTATATGAGTAATAATATATACACTATGCATAATATATTACATATATTATATAGATCATACATCATATACTACATATATTATTATATATCATATAGATTATATCACATATATTAATATATGTAATAATCTATATGATATATAACATATGAAATAATCTATTACAAATAATGTATTATATATATTAATATACTCTTTTAAAGTCTCAGCATGGGTATTATTCTTCACATGTGATACCAATGAAACTGAAACAGAGAGTTTAGGAAACTTGCCTAAGGAATGAAACCTAGTATGTCTCAAAAATTACCTTTCAGTTAAAGGGCGGTCTTGTTTATGTTGAATGTGCAATGTGGTAGCTGAATTGTATAAAAATAGGTTTGGTATTACCTTGAAGTTTGTTTCAAAACGCCTATAATTTCATGCCCTTTAGGTACATTTTTATTTTATCTAGACCTCTTGATATATAATGACAAAAGTAGAATTCAGGTATTTCTGTGTTGGTTCTGGAAAACAGGCTTGAGAGAGAAGGTGACAGCTGAGCATATCTGTGAATTCAACGGCCAAGGTGTTGACAATGGATGAAATGCATCATGAACCTGGTGTGTCAACAAGGTGGATTAGGGTACAAGCTGAAAATGTATGTTTAGTGGAAGGATGAGGGGCTCCACCCTTCCAATTGGTTTCCCACAGTCTTGCCATGAATGCCTCACTGAACTTGCCCAGTTTTGGTCAACCCCAAACTTAAAGTATGGACGCCTGCAGCACAGCAATGCCCAAGCTTAGTCAACATGTTTGACCTGGTTGAAATCCAGAAATTGAATGAAGTGAAAGTTCTGGTGCATCCAGTTATAGCTGAGATTTTAATGCCATCAGATACGTTTGCTATTCAACTCATGGCCATGTTTCTACTTGGCAGCAGTTTAAGACATTGAGCAAAGCCAAATATGAGGCTTTGTCTATTACTAGGTTGGACTGCCTGCAGAAATATGATTCACAGCCATGGAAAATGATGACTGGATTTGGTAAAACAGTTTTTCTTGTTTTCCTTATCACTTAGTAAACCAAAAGTTAACAGAAAGAACTCTTGGGACAGCTTCCCATTGTATGTGTGAGAGCCTGGATGTGAACCTAGGTCTTTGCAACTCTAATGCCTATGTTCATTTTACATAGTTACACTGTTCTCTAACAATATATGTGAGAACTGAGTTATGACAAGTGAGTAGACATTTTCCAGATGGGTTACGAGACAAAGGGCATTTTAAGCAGAGACAACAGCATAAGCACAAGGCCTTGCATTATGGCAGAAGGGCCAAGATGAGGTCAAGTTGCACAGATAATGTAAGGGAAGACTTCCCATAAGAAGTTTTGAATGCATTGAAATACGTAACTCGTCATTCATTACTTCGGTAATTCAACAGTTATTTATTGAGTGCCTTTACATGTCAGGTAACATGTTACAAAACTGGAATTGGAAATTACTCAAATCCTATGTCAAAATATCACTGCATAGGCTGGGCTCAGTGGCTCGTGCCTGTAATCCCAGCACTTTGGGAAGGCAAGGCAGGTGGAACACTTGAGGTCAGGAGTTCGAAACTAGTCTGGCCAACATGGTGAAACCCCGTCTCTCCTAAAAATACAAAAGTTAGCCAGGTGCAGTGGCACATGCCTGTAATTCCAGCTACTTGGGAGGCAGGAGAATCGCTTGGACCAGGGAGGCGGAGGTTGCAGTGAGCCGAGATTGTGCCACTGTACCGCAGCCTGGGTGACAGAGTGAGACACTGTCTCAAAAAAAAAAAAAAAAAAGAAAAAAAAATCTCTGCTTATATCTAGAACTTCCTCTCCTCCTTTAAAACAAACAAGTCTGAGAGGCCAGGTGCGGTGGCTCACGCCTGTAATCCCAGCACTTTGGGAAGCCGAGGTGGGCGGATTATGAGGTCAGGAGATTGAGACCATCCTGGCTAACACAGTGAAACCCCGTCTCTACTAAAAAATACAAAAAATTAGCCAGGTGTGGTGGCGGGCGCCTGTAGTCCCAGCTACTCGGGAGGCTGAGGCAGGAGAATGTCGTGAACCCGGGAGGCAGAGCTCGCAGTGAGCCGAGATCACGCCACTGCACTCCAGACTGGGCGACAGAGTAAGACTCCGTCTCAAAAAATTAATAAATAAATAAAAAAGAGTGTCCCGCAGAACAACAGTTCCTTGGGATATTAACAGGTAAAACAAACAAGTCTGTACAATTTTGTCTCATTGGCAAAACTAGCAGCTAAAGTCCCTTAGCTGGCTTTTGAGTGAAATAAACTATGAATACTTATAATAGATTAAGAGGCAAGCATAAGGGAAAGTAAAGATAAGCAGAGAAAAGTGACAATATCTTTGGGCTGGGGAGGGCCTTGTCTGTCATATGGTTCAACCTGTTTATTCTGCTGAGTTCTGGAGTGAAGGGACTTGCCCAAGCTCTCTTCATTCCCTGTATTGGTTCCTTTCTTCTCATACTCCCTGCCAGGGTCTGCCTTCAGTGTCTCATCATGTTTCGCTTGGATTGTTATAGTAGCCTTCAAACAAATCTCCCCGCTTTTACACAGCAGCTCAGAGATAATTCAGAAAAGCAACTTCTGGATTTTACTTTGTTCCTCAAAGCCGTTCAATATCTTCATGTTGTCTCAGGTTGTGCTCCCCAAACTGTTGTATGTGACCAGGTCCCAGAGCCATAAGCTAAACATAATATCACTTTAAAATGCTAATTTTACGTGATGGCTAGTAACTAAAAACATCATTTTACATGAAAACAAATGAATATATTATAGCCAAGATGAAAAATTTGGATGGGCTGAAATATTTCAAAGAATTTTTTTTTAGTTGTAGCAGTTGGTGTCAGAACCCTTGCATATTAGTTCATACTCATATTACTATAAAGAAATGCCTGAGACAGGGTAATTTACAAGAAAAGAGGTTTAATTGGCTCACAGTTCTGCAGGCTGTACTGGAAGCATGGTGGCATCTGCTTCCGGGGAGTCCTCAGGGAGATTTTCATCATGGCAGAAGGCAAAGAGGGAGCAGGCACTTCACATGGCAAAAGCAGGAGCAAGAGAGAGGGAAGGGGGAGGTGCCACACACTTTGAAACCACCAGATCTCATGAGAATTCACTCACTGTCCTGAGGACAGTACCAAGGGGACAGTACTAAAACATTCATGAGAAATTGTCCCTATGATCAATCACCTCCCACCAGGCTCCACCTCCAACATTGGGGATCACAGCTCAACATGAGATTTGCAGAGGGAACACAGATCCAAACATATTACCTTAGCAGCACAAGTTTGCTCTTTCCGCCATAAGAGGTGTTTCAGTGGGAAAGTTTATAATTTCTTGGCCCATAGAATAAATGCCAAGTCATTAGTTCATATCCCAGTTTCTCCAAGATCTGTTCAGGCCTGCTTGCCACTCACCCTCTTCTCTTTAATAGATTCTTGGAGACTCCACTCATCAACCATCCCATACCACTTGTATTAGTTTGTTCTTGCATTGCTATAAAGAAATACCTGAGACTGGGTAATTTATAAGGAAAAGAGGGTTTAATTGGCTCATGGTTTCACAGGCTGTAAAGGAAGCATGATGCTGGCATCTGCTCAGTTTCCAGGGAGGCCTCAGGAAACTTTTAATCATGGTCGAAGGTGAAAGGGAAGCAGGGATGTCTTACATGGTCAGAGAAGGAGCAAGAGAGAGAGGGGAGAGGTGCTACACACCATTACACAACCAGATCCCATGATAACTCACTGGCTCACTACACAGTACCAAGGGAGGATGGTGCTAAACCATTCATGAGAATTTCACCCCCATGATCCAACCACCTCCAACACTGAGGATTGCTATTCAGCACGAGATTTGGGCAGGAACAGAGATCCAAACCATATCACCACTTAAAATAGTAACTACTGCCGGGCACGGTGGCTCACGCCTGTAATCCCAGCACTTTGGGAGGCCGAGTTGGGTGGATCACCTGAGGTCAGGAGTTCGAGACCAGCCTGACCAACATGGAAAAACCCCATCTCTACTAAAAATACAAAATTAGCCGTGCATGGTGGCACATGCCAGTAATCCTAGCTACTTGGGAGGCTGAGGCAGGAGAATTGCTTGAACCCAGGAGGTGGAAGTTGCAGTGAGCTGAGATCGCACTATTGCACTCCAGCCTGGGCAACAAGAGCGAAACTCCATCTCAAAAAAAGAAAATAGTAATAATAACTACTATAGTCTCCAAGGTTTAGTAAAAAATGAAAACCACTGTAGGTATCTCAAACAGGAATAAATTTTATACAGGAAATTAGAAGCTTACAAAACCATTAGAAGAACCGGCAGAACAAAGGTTAGGCGAGCCAACTGCCAGTGTTCAGGACGTCAGGAAGCGCAGCCATGGCAGGAAGCTGCTGCTAATGCTTTGGGCTGTCTGCAGCAGCTAAATGGGTTATGTTCAAGAGCGTGGCTGGAAGGTACAGCTCCAGAAAAACTTCACATCTGCCACCAGCTGAAAACCAAAATACTGGCTTTTGAGTCTCTTTTGCCTTTCAAATATTGCATGTATGGCTCTAAGCCCTGAAACTTTGTGATATGGGCTGAATGGTGTCCCCTCAAGTTCACATGTTGAAGTTCATACCCCCCAGTACCTTAGAATGTGATTGTATTTGCAGATTTACCTTAATCTTTTTAAAAAGGGGTTAAGGTAAAATGAGGTTATGTGGGTGGGCCCTACTCTAATATGACTGATGTCCTTATAAAAAGAGGAGTTTAGGACACAGATAGGCACAGAGAGAAGACCACATGAAGACATGGAGATGAGATGACCATCCACAAGTCAAGGAGAGACTTCAGAAACCACCGCTTTCAACACCTTGATCTTGGATTTTCAGCCTACAGGACTGTGAGACAATAAGTTTCTATTGTTTAAGCCACCCAGTTTGTGGCACTCTGTTATGGCAGCCCTAGCAAACTAACATATTCTGGGAATAGGGATTTTGCAAGACTTAGTTATTAGGTTTCTAAGGGCAAAAATGGTACTGAGTTGCAAGAGACAATCTGGCACAGTTGCCCTATGCTAGGCTCATGCTGAGGCCCAGTCATGGCACAAAGCACTTCACACATGTTATCTTGTTTAATTTAAGCCTCATATCATCCATCAGTAGTGGGAACCTAGGTCAGATCTAGAAGCAGATCTCTTTGTGCTCTATCTGGTTGCATATGCACTTTCTTTTTTGGTCCACTCAGGGAACATCTATTGATCTTCAAATCGACGTTAGTTCTTCTCGCTCTTCACCCAATGCCAATCTTCTCCCTCCCCACAGAGCCATTTCCTTCTTTATTTTCCCAAAACCATAGCCCATATGGATTTCTATAATAGTACCTATGCAGATTCTATGCATTTTTACATCTATGCATTTGTTTTCTCCACTAAACTCTAGGTTTCTTAAGAGCAGAGACCACATCTTGTTTGCTTTTGCACTTCCAGAGCCCAACTTTGTGTCTGATACATGGTTTTTCTTCAGGGTGTGTTGGAAGAAAGTGGGAGGAAGGATTCAAACCGGGAAAAGACCAAGGATCCTTTCACCACACTGCAGTGTCAGCATCTCATAAGAACACACCCAGTTAATCCAGAATAGATAGGAAGGAAGAATGCTTTTGCACACACACATGCATACAAATGTGAGAGACTTCTCTGGCTTGATGCTAGGCCACTTCCCTTATAGAAATTGGCCAGCAGTGTGACAATTAATTAACTTTCTAAGTAGCTGATCAAACATCTCATTTACTCAGTCAACAGAGTGTTAAGACAGAAGCGTGGTGGAACGGAGAAAAGGGACCTTAGGGAGCTGTGAAGGAGGCTTTGCAAAGCAGATGACATTTGAGCTTGATCTTAAAGAATGAGTAAGTGTGTTATGAAGGGTAGTGGGTCGTGGGTATTCTAGAAAAGGGAACAGCATGGGCCATGTCTGGAGACTTTGGCTTGTTCAGCAAAGAGCAAGTAGTTAGGGGTGTATATATGTTTGTTATGTGCGAGGGGTGGGGAAGAGGAGAGACAATAGGAAATGAAAAACCACAACAAACTTCTTTGTACACAAATATTTCTTCACATTTCAGATAGTCATAGAATGTCTTAGATCTGGGCATGGTTTATAATATCAAAAATTGGAAATGGCCAATGATAGGAGAATGGACAAGTAAACTATGGTGTATTAACTCAAAACAATATTATATAATAACATAATTACATAATTTATTAAAAGTATTAGCAAATACTTTACATAAATGCATATTAAATAAATGACTATTAAATGAATAAATATTAAAAATAATGGCAAAGATCACAATTGCTTTTGCACCAACCTAATTATATAAGATTGTAATGAAGAACTTGTCACTTTACAGAAATATTTTGTGTGAATAATCCTAAGTGAAATAGTAGGATTTGGTGTGATCATATGCACTTAAAAAATAAAATAGGCTGAGCACAGTGGCTCATGCCTGTAATCCCAGCACTTTGGGTGGCCGAAGCAGGAGGATCACGAGATCAGGAGTTTGAGACCAGCCTGGCCAACATGGTGAAACCCTGTCTCTACTAAAAACACAAAAATGAGTCGGGCGTGGGGGCGTGCCTGTAATCCCAGCTACTCGGGAGGCTGAGGCAGGAGAATTGCTTGAATCTGGGAGGTGGAGGTTGCAGTGAGCTAAGATTGCAGCACTGCACTCCAGCCTGGGTGGCAGAGCGACGAGACTCTGTCTCAAAAATAAATAAATAAAATGAATAAATAAAAAAAATAAAATCCTAAACAGAAGGAAAAAAATGGAAGGAAATATTGTGGGCAGTTGTTATCTTTAGGTGATTTTCCCCTCTCATTCCTATTGATTAATTTTTGCACCTAGTTTATTGATAATGAAGATGAATTTATTTTTTATGTATTTTTGAAAAATCCATGTCCTGTCCTAAAGATTTTTGCTGCCAATTCCTTTATGTTCTGTGGTTATGGGACACTGTTTAGCTGTGACCAGAAGAGAAAAGGCCACAGTATCACCAAACCACCAAGAAGACAAAGGCTTAAGAAAGGAAGCCAAAGACCAAGGGGCATTAGGTCCTTGTGATTCCCGTCTCAGAGTGAAAGCACAAGTCGCAGCTTCAGAGGGCTTCCCAGAGCGGAGTGGGCAAAGCCGATGCATCCACAGTGTCTAGGCTGCGAGGAAACTAAGACGGCCAAATCCCACCCACTCCACCCCACCTTGAATTCCTTCTAAAGCTTCCACAGGTTCCTAGACTCATCTTGCATGCTCTCAGCAATAAGTAGTCCTCACAGTTGAGCCAGATCCCTCCAGCCAGTTTAAAAGTTCTGCCCAAATCTACTTTTCAGATGGCCCCGGTCCGGCTATATGGACTCACCCAGAACAAAGCTAACTTTGCACGTGACAACCCCTACTATTCTGACCTCACTAGATTAGGTTTCATGAGACCAGCCCTTAGGTCTGTTTTGCTGTATCCTCAGCACTCAATATGGTGCCACGTACAGAGTAAGCACTTAGGACATGTTGTAGGATGAATGAACAAGTGAAAGAGTGAGAGAATAAATTCACTCCTGAGTCTTCTCCTCTCCTGGCCAAATATCCCCAGTTCCTTCAACAGTTCTGATGTGGCTCCTGGACCTGTCAGCACTTGTTTTAGATATTCCCCAGCATGTCCGTGTTAAATGTGGATTTCAGGAACTTACACAATAGTCCTGGTGTGGTGTGGGGTGCACGATTCACAGGAACCATAACTTCCCTTATTTAGAACAACCTATTTTAATGAGGCAACTCAAGATCTTAAGAGCCATTATCAAAGCCACTAATGGTTAAAAAATCTGGACTATATTTTTAGGGGTTGGGGCCACTGCTATCAATCCCAGCAGCATGGTGTTCCTTTTTGACCATTCAAGACTCTGCCCAATGTTGTGGCAAAGGCAAGGGTAAGGAGTCAAAAGACCTGGATATGGGCATTGGGCTGGTAGCAGTAGCTACTATGGAGTCCCAGGTTCACTCTGGGCTAAACACTGTGCTAAATGTCTCACAAATATGTTCTCAGTTAACGCTTGTTGCAAGTAGAGTACTGTTTTTATCCATTTTTTACAAATAGAGAAATTACCTAAGCTTATTTCTGGCATTTCATTGTGCAGGAATCTCCAGCTCGTCACTCAAACTCTCTGGGCTTCATTTATTTTATCTGTCAAATGGAGATAATAATAATATCTGTCTTGGATAGTCACTGGGAAGATTTATTAAAAGGTTGCAGTGAAAGTAACTGATAAAGCCTATAAACTTGCAATACATTATTATAAAGGCTCCGATTTTCCAGAGCAAAGTCTGGAGACATAGATTTCAATTTCCTCTCTGTGTCTGTGTCTGCCATTCCAGATTGCTGTCAGTTAATGTAACAAATGTTTTCTTCCTTTCTCTAATCTTGGACATTTTTTTAATAGATTAAGAGTAATTACTCCCAAATGGATACATGAAAGCCCAATTTCTGCCTAACATGCATCAAACCATTCATAAATATGCTTTTCTATTTTATTTATTATTCTTCATTAAATCTATTTCAAGTGGAAACAAACAAATCCACTCTTTCCAAGTATTAAATTAACTCAACGCCAAAGGTGTTTCCTGTAACACTCTTCCAGCAGAGGGCACTATTTCTCTATAAAGAGGGTGCCTTAGTTTTCTAAACTGTGATCCTCAGATTTTGAGGTAATTTTTGCAGAGCCTCATAAATAAATTCAGACCCAAGTATTAAGAATTATTAATGAGGACAATGCCGTTTGGGTTTACTTCATGAAAAGAATTTTCAGTTAGTGCAGAAATGCTGATTTTTGCCCTCTGCCATATACGGTCAGGTATCTCCTTATTTAGAAATCACAGAATATGAGAGTTAGGGCCTTACAGATCACTTAGCCTGCAGATCACAAAGAAACTGCCTGCAGGTGAAATTCAGCCCACATTCATATTTTGTTTGCCTTGCAGAAGTTTATTATTATTGTTATCAGACTAACATTAACCAGGAGGGTGCACACAACATATAGATTTCTTAGCATATTAAAAAAAAAATAAATCTGAAGCTTTCACAATGCTGAGCCAACATGCCTCTATGGTGACAACTGGCTGGGATTCAATAAATTTACACCCTTGTGGACAGGACATATGCACACTAGTTCCCCAACAGTGACTTCTCATCCAGGCTGCCCCATTAGTATACATCAATTACCTGGACCTAAAAGCACTTGAGTTTATGACCTGTAGATTCTGGTCCAACTTCTTCATGTTACAGATGAAGACACTGGAGGCCAGAAATAGGAAGGGCCTTGCTCAAGGTCACACCACAAGTGAGGCGCTGAGACCAGGTCTCATTCCCAGGCCTCCCAACCTACGGGGTCACGGTCCTTTCCCACCTCTGGGGTTTCTCAAAATTAAGAATTGATCCTGACTCCTGCCTGTGCCTCTGTCAGAAAGCTTCAGTCCTTTCCTCCTTTACCCTAAGAGGCCAGTGTTCCCAGGCAGGTGGGAGGGCCACAAAGAGGTCCCAGACAGTGTAAAATGCAAGGAGAGGCTTTGGTGGTGGTGGTGGTTGGGAGTGGGGGGTGGGGTCGGGGAACAGAAAGAAGGGGAGAGGGGGCCCTCTACTAGTTCTTCTAGGGCCTTTTTCTTGGCTACTCCTGCTTTCCTAGGGCTAGTTTTGCTTCTCAGATCCTGATTTCTTGGGCTGATGGACAGAACTTGGAGAGCACAGTCAGAGAGACTTACTTTCTTAAAATTTCTGGGCCAGCCGGGCGTGGTGGCTCACGCCTGTAATCCCAGCACTTTGGGAGGCTGAGGAGGGTGGATCACGAGGTCAGGAAATCGAGACCATCCTGGCTAACACGGTGAAATGAAACCCCGTCTCTACTAAAAAAATACAAAAAAAAATTAGCTGGGCGTGGTGGCGGGGGCCTGTAGTCCCAGCTACTCGGGAGGCTGAGGCAGGAGAATGGCGTGAACACAGGAGGCGGAGCTTGCAGTGAGCGGAGATCGAGCCACTGCACTCCAGCCTGGGCGACTGAGCGAGACTCTGCCTCAAAAAAAAAAAAAAAAAATTCTGGGCCTTGGTTTCCTCATCTGTAAAGTGGAAGCATTATTACTTTGTGGAGCTTGTGTAAAAATTTTCTATTCGATAAGAAAAGCATTTGTGATTCATTTGCTTATTGACTGCCTACTAGATGTAGAATGTTTGGGGGTACAGCTATGCCTGAAACATGAGGATCCTAAATAAATGGCAGCAATTATTGGGGAGAAAAAGGAGACAGGCTTCTTGTTATCCTGTGGAGACTCTGTGCCTTTGGCCCTGAGGCCTCCACATTCCAACAGCTCTCCACCTAAGCCTGTGCTGCATATCTCGGCTGCACATTAAAATATCCTGGGCAGCGTTTAAAATCCTTGGTGCCCAGGCTCCTCCTAGAACAAGTAAATCAGAATCCCCAGGGGTGGTGTCTGGTCATTAGTGCAGCACAGCTGGGAACCACTGTCATAAATCCTCTTCCTACCATGACACAGCCTAAAGCCGTTTGCTTTCCTAGGAGCCACGTTGGCCACACGCTTCCTTTGCTGCAACCCCACTCCTGCCCTTTGAGTCTGGACATATTAATGAAATTCCTCTGACCTTCTATTTCTTTTTCAGGAAAATAGGGGTGTAGGGGAGACAGTTGGTAGCCTAACCGGCATCTGTTAGCTCCTTTTTCCATCTAAGCAGAAGGCAGATTTTGGAAGCTGACCACCTCCAGGGGTGAATCTGATTGGCCCAACAGTTATTCAGTCAATCCTCTTTTGTCAGTGATTGGTTTAGGAACGAGACTGTGGACCGAACTCCGTTATATAAGATGTGAAAGGAGGCCTCTAGGAAAAGTTTTCTTGCTCTTGAAAAAGAGGAAGAAGACCATTGTGTGGTGTTTTGATTTGACATGTGGAACTGCTGCCGCCATCTTGTGACCAGCCTGAGGATGAAGGCGACACCGGGGCACAACATGTAAAGATGAATGTTGGTTAACTGGAGTTTTTATTCAATAGAAAATTGAAGTGGCAAGCACGATGAGTAGAAGAGAACTAGAATTTACTGAGTCCCTATTATGTGCCAGACCCTCTGTTAAGTTCGGTATAATATGTGCCAGCTCATGTAATTCTGACAACTGTGGTCTGGCATTAGAAAGTAATCAGTTAGACTCTATTGATTTTTTTTTTTTTTTTTTTTTGAGATGGAGACTCCCTCTGTCTCCCACGCTGGAATGCAAAGGCGCGATCTAGGGTCACTGCAACCTCCTCCTCTGGGGTTCAAGCGATTCTCCTGCCTCAGCCTCCTGAGTAGCTGGGATTACAGGTGCCTGCTGCCACGCCCAGCTAATTTTTGTATTTTTAGTAGAGATGGGGTTTCACCATGTTGGCCAGGCTGGTCTTGAATTCCTGACCTCAGGTGATACACCCGCCTTGGCCTACCAAAGTGCTGAGATTACAGGGCTAAGCCACCGTGCCCGGCCGACTCTGTTGATTTTTCTTTTAGCTCTGACACTTAGGCAAATGCTTTCATCTCTCTAAACCTCAGTTTTCTCATCTGTGAGATAGAAATGATAGAATATATGCATTATGTGGTTGTTAGAAGAATTAAATGAAATAATGCTTGTAAATAATGCATGTAAATAATCTAGTAAATAATTAGGACCCAATGAAAACCAGGTGTTACATATGTTTATCAACCTGTAAGGCAGGTTATTAGTTTTATTATTATTGTTATTGTACTTTTTACATATGAATGGAATAAGAATTACAAGACCCAAGTGGACTTGCCTAAGATCTCACAGTGTGTAAGTGGCAGAGCTGGGATTTAAACTCAAGAATTCTTTTTTTTTTTTTTTTGAGATGGAGTCTCACTCTGTCACCCAGGCTGGAGTGCAGTGGTGCGATCTCGGTTCACTGCAACCTCTGCCTCCCAGCTTCAAGCAATTCTCCTGCCTCAGCCTCCCAAGTAGCTGGAATTACAGGTGCACGCCACCACGCCCAGTTAATTTTTTGTATTTTTAATAGAGATAGGGTTTCACCATGTTGGCCAGGCTGGTCAAGAATTCTTACTACTAATCCACTGTTCATGCTTTTTCTCTCCTCTCCTGCTTGCTATATTCAGTTGAGGAAATCCCAGTATTCTCCTGCAGTAAGTAGTCCATGGAGAATTCTTCCACAAACACAAGTTTTCAAGCAAATGAAATGAAAAAGAGAAGCTGAGTCTGAGGCATGGGTGTGACCCAGAGGCTGAGAAAAGCAAGGAACCCTCTTCAGCCTGACATACTTTAGGCTTGCAAAGAATAAAGGCTCATAGGATAATAGAATCTCAAGATCCAAAGAACCCTTAGAGATCATACAAGTATAACCCAACCCCATCCATGCTGAAATTCCTCTTTGCCTACCTTTTGAGATGGGGACTTCCAACTCTCCAGAGTGGGGCAACTCTGTTGAAAAGTTCTACCATTCCTTGAGATTACATTTGCATTTGCCTCCCTTGAAGTTCCACCCATTGGTCCTAATTGTAGCCTCTAGGGAAAGAAAGAACAACGCTCATTCCTTTGCTACATGGCTGGCTGCCCTTTGGAAGCATGGTGATGAGAGCTCACTTCACCTTGAGTCTCCTTCTCACCTTCAAGCTGCTCCATCATGCAGCTTTCTCAACTGGTCCTCAAACAATACTGTTTCCAACTCCACCACCATCCTGACCCTTCTTTTACTCCACCACCATCCTGACCCTTCTTTTGCTATGGAGGGATAGAAATGGAATCAACAATTGCAGAAGGGTTTCCTAACAATCAGAGCAGTTCCCCAATAGACCAAGTGGTCAGTTTGAAACATTATTGTTTATATGTAAATTATACTTTTAAGAAGTCACAGGGGGGAAACTATTACCTAATGTGGTGGGCATCTGTTTTTGTTTGTCCAACATCCATTTCATTTCTTTTGGGATTAAGATTAAAACTCCCTTGGGTGAACAACCAAAGTCATTTGGATACAGTCTGGATGAAACAGTTAGCAAGGTGCCCTACTGTCCCCTAGCCATAGGCAGAAATATGGTCCTCACTGGGCTGGCCAGATCTTCCTTCCCTAGTTGGACAGGAATTAGGGTGGATGGTTTGAACTCATGGGTTGTCAAAAGGGCAACCGGATTAGCCTGCTCATAGTTCCTGTGGAACCCCTAGAACCACTTCTGTCCTCCTCCCGGCTTCCTAAGCTTGGCTCCCAGCTTTCCTTTTGAACTTTTGAATTCCCCCATATATTCCCAGCATGTTTCCTTTCTGGTATATATTCATCAGATGTAATTTCTGTTGCTTACAGCTAAAGACCTTTGATTTATTTGGTAATAGAATAAAGGGCAAATAACATGATGGAATTTTGATAAAGCAGACTCAAAAACATAGGAAAAAATAAATACAGAATTTACTTAATCTCTATTATATTATCTTATGTTATAAATGTATGATGAATATTTTTTATGTTAATAATATTTTTAAAAATTAACTTTTATTATAAAAGAGCATGTGCTCATTATAGAAAATTTGGAAAACATATAATAGAAAGTGATATATTACCTATATAAAATTATTACTTGACTGCCAAAAGTCTGAGTCTATGCCCAGGGCAGAATTTACGCCACTCCATACTAGCCTGGCTTTTTGGTTACCTTTTGGTCTGTTTTTATTTCACTGGGAATGTGGGCCAGTGCTTATTTTCACAGCCAAGTTAATTAATGAGAAAATCCTCAGACTTTCCATTTATCACTTCCAAACACCCACTTTTGATGAGTCAGTTGCCATTTGGACAATATAGGATAATTTTCAAATTCATTACAACAGGACAACAATACAGCCCATTTCTTACTCATGTTATCTCCAAGGGATTCTGACTTCATTAATCTTTGGACCACCACTCTCAAACAGGGAAGGGACATTAATCACAGTTCTCCAGTGGGGGAGCAACAGGACCCGGAGAGAGCAAGTGGTTTGTCATTTATAGAGAAGTGCTGGAGTAATTGGAACTATATATCCAGCTTGGAGTCTTTCTAAAAAAAAAAATTTTTTTGCTATTAGACAATCAATCAACCATGTTTATATATTTAGTAGATACCTAATATATGCTATGAGTACTTAAATGTACGCAAAATACAAACAACTGTGGGTTATAGCTCTTATCCCCTTACAGTCCAAGGAGCAAGGAAAGACAAATCTGTTAGAAAAAACATAGTAGCACAGATATGATACTGTGTTGTTCATTAAATATAAAGCAGCTGCTGTTTTGTTCTTTGAACACAGTATAAAATCTAATTCCTTGGCTTTTATATCTTTTCTCTGCTTATGCAAATACTTGTTAGTATCTGTCATACACAAGGCTCTTTAACACACATCTCCTCTTTACATGATCACAACCACCGGGTGAAGGAGGCACTCCCATTTCATCCTACAGATGAGGGTGTGGCAGTGACAAAGCAGGTATGCCCTCTCCCTTCTCTCTCCCTGGGCTTTTCCTGGCTCCTCTTGCGCATCCCCACGGCCTTATCACCACTGCGTTCATGTGTCCCACATCTCTCTCTTAGCCTGGCTCTTTCTCCCTCTGCTGAACTTGAGAGTCGTAACCAAGTAACACTAGACAACTCCACCTAGAGTTTCTGCAGGCATATGAAACTCAATATGCCTTAGACCAAAGACATCTCTTTTCCTTCTCCAAACCTATTGCTCTTGTTTTGTTTTTAGTCCTGGAAAATACTGTCATCCACTGACACTCTAGCCAGAATCCTGAGAATCAGCCTAGATGCCTCCCTCCCCAGTGGACTCTTTTTCCATTCATTCAGCTATGATTGCTACTTCCTAAGTGTACCTCGAAACCTCCCCCTTCTCTCCATGTCCACCAGAATGATCCTGGCCCAGGCTCTCACCCTTTATCTGCTGCTTGTTGCATCAGCCTGTCTCTTCTTGTCCACTATCCACCTCTCTGTAATTCATCCTCTATGCAACAGAGAAAGGGGTCTTCTATAAGAGATGCAAATATGATCATGGCAGTCACCTATGCAATGGCTCCCCAGTGCCCTGGGTACAAAGACCAAACTTTTAAGCATGACATATAAGTCCTTTAGGATTTATTTTCAGTCTGCCTCTGAACCTCTCACCTTCTTACTTTGGCCTATTTTTTTTTTTTTCTGCCTGGAACTTTTTTTCACTTTCTTCATCACCTAACGAACTCCCATTCATCTGTCAAGAGCCGGCTCAGGTGCCATCTCCTGTAGGAAGCCTTCCCTGACCTCCAAGATGGAAAAAATTTGGGAGGCAGGTGAGTGAAGGCAGGGTTTGATTCCCCTGACATCTTCTTTGTATGGTCATGCTGGTCTGGCTGTGACCGTCAACTGTCAGTCACTCTTCCTCTTATGCTGATCTTCTCGACACTACTCTTCCCTTCTAGGTTCCCATAGCCAATTCCCTCTGTAATTCTTTTGAATGTTAGCACCACTGCTGCTAGCCCTGGGTTCCTGCACAGCCCTTATGAGTCACCTGCATCCCACCCACATCCTTGTAAACACTCCCTTTGTAATAAACTTTCTTAGAATTATCCTAATATGGGTGTTCCATAGGTTTCCTATCAGGACCCTGTCTGATCCACCAATATTTTGCAACCAGAATCATATAGTCTTCTGTTAACATTTCAAAGCTACATCATCTTCATTTCTGATTGATCTTTCATTGACCTTGGTTTGTAACTCTTTAACCTAAAAGTGAGGGCAAAATAGTTTTTCTATCCCATTTGCCAAGAGAATGAAAAAGCTATTAAAATACACTACCTTTATTTCCAGGACATAGATCTTATCACAAGAATCATGGCCAGGCACAGTAGCTCACACCTGTAATCCTAGCAGTCTGAGGTAGGAGGATTACTTGAGGCCAGGAATCAGAGACCAGCCTGGGCAACATAGCAAGACACTGTGTTTACAAGAAAATTATAAAAAGAAAAAGAATCATAAAAAACTACTAACAGATCTATCTATTCATTAGACTGTGTGCACCATGAGGGCAGGAATTGGGTCTTTTTCACCATTTATTCCCAAAGCCCAGCCCTGGAATACAGTAGACACTCAGTAATAGTCAATTAATGAACAGATCACTAGTAAGCCTTTAAAATATTTGTAGAATAAATGAATGAATACCTGGATGGAGAAAGAGTTGATATCCCAAACCTGTAAGTCTTAGGAACTCTGGTTGTTAACAAGTGAGCTCCCTTTTTTATTTTGTCCCCATGCCAGGATACTGAAGTGTTATTTTGGTAGAATTGGCAATTTTCTGAAAGAAGTTGAAAATATCTTTCTTGGGTTGGGCAAAGTGGCTCACCCGTATAATCCAAACACTATGGGAGGCTGAGGGAGGAGGATCACTTGAGGCCAAGAGTGGGTTGGGCAAAGTGGCTCACCCATATAATCCAAACACTATGGGAGGCTGAGGCAGGAGGATCACTTGAGGCCAAGAGTCGGAGAACAGCCTGGGAAATAGAGTGAGCCCCGTCTCTACACAAATAAACTAGCCCCTGGCACCATAGCAGCCTGAGGGCGCCTGGGCCCAGTCCAGGAAGCTAAACAGGGTCGGGCCCAGTGGGAGCTTGGAAGGGGAGCCGCCTGGGGAGCCCAGGGGCTAGAGGCTTTTGCTGGGGGAGGTGTGAGCCACCTGTAATCCCAGCACTTTGGGAGGCAGAGGCAGGTGGATCACCTGAGGTCGGGAGTTCGAGACCAGCCTGACCAACATGGAGAAACCCCATCTCTACTAAAAATACAAAATTAGCCTGGTGTGGTGGTGCATGCCTGTAATCCCAGCTACTCGGGAGGCTGAGGCAGGAGAATCACTTGAACCCGGGAGGTGGAAGGGAGGCGGAGCTTGCAGTGACCCGAGATTGTGCCATTGCACTCTACCCTGGGCAACAAGAGCAAGACTCTGTCTCAAAAAAAAAAAAATAAATGAATAAATAAAAATAAACTAGCTGGGTATGGTGGTGGGTGCCTGTAGTCCCAGTTACTCCTGCTGAGGCAGGAATATTGCTTGAGCCCAAAAGTTGGAGGGTGCAGTGAGCTATGATCACACAACTGCACTCCAGCCTGGGCAACGGAGCAAGACCTTGTCTCTAAAAAAAAAAGAAAGAGAAAGAAAAGATGTATTCTATTCAAGGTGTCTCTGGAACACATACTTGGAGAAAGAACACTGCTGGAGTAGAACCACTAACCATGCTGTCACTCCCATCTTCTCCCTGACCCCCCTTGTCCCACCCCTTCAGATTTGACAACTCTGTAGGAAACCAATTTGCCGTTAATCACAAGGGAGTTTTATTTACTCTGCTGAAAGAATTGAAAAGCAGTCATTTTTATTAGCACCACAGCTGGTTCTTCCATCATGGAAGAAATACAATTATGCGTCTTCCTATGGCTGAATGCAGACAGCTACAACCTCATTATTCATTCTGGTAGGAAGCAGGCCTTTATAATGAGCAGAGGGAAAAATGTGCCCCAGTCTCATTTGTAAAAGGAACAAATCTTAGTTCCTCGAATGACATTGCCACTGTCACCATAAAAAAAGGCTTTTTATTTGTTTGGTTATGTAATAGGGTGCTATCACTTTGGAGGCAGAACCAAAGGCAGTCATTATGATGTAGTGGAAAGAGGGTAGGCTCTGGCATCAGGCCAGCCTGGGTTCAAATTCTGGCCCTGTTTCTTATCAGCTGTGAATAGGGAGCCCATTAGTTCTTCTGAACCTCCGTTTTCTTATTTGTAAATTGGAACGAGTAATAGAACAGCTTCGCAGGGTGGTGGCAAAGATTAGAGATTAAATTCCTACATGTGGCATCCAGCACCTGTGATAACATGATCTGCCTCTGCCTACCTCTCCAGCTTCATCTCCCACCCCTCAAACCTGGCATTTCTGCTGCAGCCGAACTTGCCATACTTGCCCATGCTCCCCTGACTTTGCTTATGTTGCCCCCTCTGCCTGAGTCACATGCCCTTTTCATTTCCCTTGTTCCTCTGGCAAACTTCTTTTCTTAAAAGAAGTCTTCTTCTTAGTCCCTCCCCTAGACAGGCACTGGCACCCCCTTTCTGTTTTTGTCACCCTTTGGACACACCTCACTATAGGAAGTGGCCGTGCATTACAATGGACTTGTCTGCTTACATATCTACACCAAGCATCAGTCTGTAAGCTGCTTAAGAAGTAAGAACTGTGTGCCTGACTTACATGTCTACTGCTGACACTGTACCAGGCAGAACTGGTGGTCAGGAAATGATTTACCGAATGAACAAATGAATCAATGAAGACTTGGGTAAAGCACTTACTGCCCTGTGTGAATCCAGCAGGCACTGTTGATTGTTAAACCACTGTCAACTCATTCCCTTGAAAATTCTCACCAAAGAGGCACCCCAGCTGGTTAGAGAAGTGGAGAGCCTGGTTACCCAGTTTGGGGCAATGAGTCATTGGAGGGAGTCTATTGAGGAGGTATTTGAGTTTCTCTTACTTGTCCTCAGACATCCCAACTGGATCTTGGTATAGAATATTCAATTCTAAAGGTGAATTTACCTTTATCCATCCTCATCTCTTGATGCAATTAGCAAAGTATGGCATCATTTGGAGTCAGACAAATGAGAGTTTGAACTTAATCTCCATTACCTTGTTTCCTACAACAAAAGATGACATGGCATGATGGTTAAGAATACTGTCCTGGGAACCAGACGGCCTGGGCTTGAGTGTTGGCTCCATTTTGAAGTTGTTGGACCTTGGGCAAATAATCTGTAAAATCAGAATCATAATTGTACCTGCCTCATAGGGTTAAACAGAATCATGAATATAAAGTACTTAGAATAAAGTCTGACACATAGTTAGGGCTGTATTAATGTCAGCACTATTTTTATTAATAATACCAGTTGTGTAACCATAGGCAATTTCATATGTTCTCTGAGATTTGGTTTGAACATCTAGAAAATGATGGTTAAAATGCCTCTGTAGCAGGATTGTGGTGAGGGTGTTAATTCATGTGCGTGGAGCATCGAGAACCGCACTGGCATGTGGCCACAGCTGGGCAAAGAGGGAAGAAAGACCATGACAAACTTTGGGACTTGGATAAACTGTGCTCTCACCTTTGCTCCTTGTGTACCCCCGGTCTTGTCCTCCTGCTCAAGGCCAATGGCAGCCCCTGAGGTCTGGACCCCTCCCCTTCTGCTTTCTCAGGGACCTTGTGCTATCAATTAAGCTCCTATCCCTTCAACCTTTTCCACTTGGCTTGCTTCTCCTCAAAAGCATTTAAATAGGCTCTGGTCTTTTCTAACTTAGAACACCACCTTCAAAAAAAATCAACTCTTCCCCCACTGTCCCATTCTTTCTCCCTCAATTTTTTCACAGCCAAACTCCTTGCAGTATTTGTCTACACAACCTGTCTCTACTTCCTCACCTCCCACTCAATCCTCCTGATGGTGCAGCCTTTAAAAACCGTGTTGAATACTTGGAGTCTGGAAGAAGCAAGGTAAAGAGAGCAAAGGTTATTTTCACCCTGAAGAGACAGCCTTTAGAGAAGTACAGCCAGGGAGTGATCGAGTCCCCTAACAAAGACACTTTGGTGAACCAAGAATGGGATGGCCCCGACTAGAGTTGGTCTTCACTGCCAGATGTCCAATCTATCTTCACAGCACATTGGGCAGAACCCACAGTTCTCTCATCTCATGACATACATGCATGCAGATCCCTCCTGAATTATGAGCCCTTTTCCTGGCAGCACCAGACTCCAGATCAAGCCTAGTACAGCCAGAGCCAGTCTCTCTGTGCCCTTCCAATCAACAGCCTTCTCTGCAATAAGGAGGGGACCCATGGCTTCAGTGAGGCCCAAGCAATACCAAGAAGAGAAGAAGGATATGAAGGTAAAACATCTACGGAGTTGTAAGTTTCTAATTTTTTTTCTGTGTTTTCCTTTTCTTCTGCTTTATAATCATTTATAATGAGGAAAGGCCAGGATCAGATGCCATTAACTTCACTCTAATATTGTCCACTTGGGAGGTCACCCAGGAACACCTGAAATGCCATACCTAACAGCTCCAAAAGATGATAGGTAGTGTTTGAGAAGCAAATGCTACAGAGCTCTGCACATTCAAGAGCTCATTTAATTTTTTTAACAAATATATGAGGCAAGGGCCCTTGCCCACCCCATTTACAAATAAAGAGACTGATATTTAGGGTCAGCAGCATCTACCCTCTGCAGGGCCAACCATATGTCAGGTACTGACCTAGCTGAATACTTTGAAAACAATCCTCACAGCCACAGCTTTATAGACAAGTGTTATTGCCCCTTCTTTGCAGATGAAGAGCATAGGATTTGGTACCAGACAAGGCTGGGCCTAGTACTTACTAATTAGATGGGTGACCTTGGGTGACCTTCTTAAGTTCACCCAAATATATAAAGTTTACCATCTATAAAATATCAGGGCTAGGCTGGGCATGGTGGCTCATGCCTGTAATCCCAGCACTTTGGGAGGCCAAGGTGGGTGGATCACGTGGTCAGGAGTTGGAGACCAACCTGGCCAACATGGTGGAACCCCGTCTCTACTAAGAATACAAAAATTAGCCGGGCATAGTGGCATGTGCCTGTAATCCCAGCTACTTGGGAGGCTGGGGCAGAAGAATCGCCTGACCCAGGAGACAGAGATTGCAGTGAGATGAGATTGTGCCACTGCACTCCGGCCTGGGCAACAGAGTGAGACTCCGTCTCAAAAAAAAAAAAAAAAAAAAAAAATCAGGGCTAAATTGAATGAGCTGAAAGGTCCGTTCTGACAGAACTCTCTTCAACCTAATAATTGCTAAGTATCTCCTCATAACTCCCAAATGTTAGTGTCAGCTCTATATACTGGAGTCACAGAAAACAAGTTCTTTCAGTTTTAGGAGAGGAAATAAAGTGGGTGGAGAAAAAGAACTGGATGGTCTGTAGCTGCCATTCTGTTTCCTTTTCACTAGGTTGTTCTTAGCGGACTTTTAACTTTCCAGATTCTTCTAATTTTTATTTTTATTTTGAGGCAGAGTCTCACTCTGCTACCCAGACTGGACTGCAGTGCACAATCTTGGCTCACTGCAACCTCTGCCTCCAAAGTTCAAGTGATTCTCATGCCTCAGCCTTCCTAGTAGCTGGGATTACAGGCGTGCACCAACGCTTGGCTAATTTCTTTGTATTTTTAGTAGAGATGGGGTTTCACCATGTTGGCCAGGCTGGTCTCGAACTCCTGACCTCATGTGATCCACCCACCTTGGCCTCCCAAAGTGCTGGGATTACTGGCATGAGTCATCACACGTGGCCTAGATTCATCTAAATTTTAAAACATGGGATGTTGCAATCAGATAGAAGAGCCAGATCCAGTATTGGCAGCTGTTACTGGTTTTGTGACCTGAAGAAGCTAATCAATGTTTCTAAGCCTCAATTCCCTTCTCTGTAAAAGTGGGTGCTCACAGTGTTGTTGAGAAGATTAAGCAGGGAAGAGTGTGTGAAACTACCTTACACATAGCAAGGGCTCAATAAATGGTAGTAACTGTTCTTTGTTTTAAAAAATTTTTGCTTAATCCACTGCACAATAAAGTGACCCATGGAAGACCTTGGGAAATGTTTACAGGTTTCAAATTTGGTGTTTGCCAAGTATTGCAAAACATCTACCCCTCCTCACTACACACTTGTACTCCTGTTAAAATACATTACTGTGCTTGAAGGTGTCCAGTCTTCTATTGTCTTGCATAGTAGCACAGGCGAGCTTGGTGAAGGTAGGTGGAATCAGGGTGTGTTTTCAGCAACAAGTGAGCAGAGGAGCTGAGCGGGTGGTTCTGAGCAAAGGGCCCGAGAAGTGACAGCAGAGGGGGAGTGATGCCGAAACGATAATATTAGAGTACACAGAGTAATGCACAGCTGCCAGGTCACACAATTTGAGAACTGCTTCAGAACAGTCAACTCTTCCACGCTGTTGCTAAGAGACGGGGGAGGTGGGGAGGCATTCATCCCTTGAACAAAAGGGAGGGGAAAAACACGAACAGACATGAACTCTAAGTTTTGGAAATGATTTCATGGACTCCTATTTTCTGAACGTTAGTGTCTTTGGAGACATTTTCATGTGTTGAGTTCCTACTGTGTGCTATGTGTGGCTCAAGGCACTGGGGAGAGAGCAGTGGACAAAGTCCCTGTTTTCATGGAGCTTCTATTGGATTTGGTCTTCTCCTTTGATGTTGAGGGGACTGACTGAGGTCCTCAGAAGGGAAGAACTTGCCTAAGAACTGAAGGCAACCTATTGGCAAAGCTGATATTTGAATCCAGGCCTCCTAAATCCAAGATCGAGACTTTTTCCATATACTACATTTTACAAAAGAGATTCATCTGCAGCAGATTTTAACGTTAGCTAGGACTTAAGTACCTCAGCTAGGTCAAGGTCCATTCACTGGAGATTTCTGCAAATGAGTCCAAAAAAATGATGTTTTTTTAATTTCAAGTGTCCCACGGAGAAGTTTCATATTTATTCAGAGTCCTTGTCTTCCATTATTACACCTAGTTGAATGAAACTGTATAGTATGAAAGGAGGTAGGGAGAATCAAAACAGGAAAAAGATTTGGGTATCTCATAACTGCTGAAAATTAGCAAGACATGGAAGTCAAGAGATCTGGGTGCAGAAGCAGTTTCTACTTCTTCCTACCTGTGACCTTACCTCTTTAGGCCTGTTTTCCCACCTATAACATGAGGGATTGCATTATAATAATCTCAGCATTCTTCTCCAGCTCTAAATTTATGATGAGTCACCCAACAGTGCCATGCAGTGAAAATAGCCCTAAGGCCCTAAGATGTAATTTCAGAGAGTGACTGTGGTTCAAAGATGAAAAACTGAGTGTTAATTGCCCCTTCTCCTGTGCTCCCATGGTCCTAGGGCAGGGTGCTGCTGTAGTGCACATTCTGCTGTGCATGCTGAGAAGCTGGCTCCGGGTCTGCACCAGCAGAAAGGTCTGTGCTTATGGAGGGTGAGCACTGTGTCCTGTGCACTGCCACGTGACTGTTTTTGTAGGCCTTTCTTCCCATCAGACCATGACTACTTTGATGGCAGGGACCATGTCTTATTTATCCTTCTGCCTTAGTGCCTGCCGCTGAGTAGTCTGTAGATGTTTACAGAGTGAAGGAATCAATGAATAATGACTGAGTGAGAAAACTATACTTTTTCAGGGTCAATAAAGGAAATAGCACAAGAGAATCTCCCCTGATAAACTTGTCAAAGTGATCCCAGAATTAAACATTCAGGCTGGAGAGGTTATTAGTGACTTGCTTAAGGCCACATTGTTTAAAAGCAGCAAAGCTAGGACTCCTTTCCTCTCTCCTTTTCTTTCTTTTATTCAGTACCCCAAAAGGGTGTTTGGCTCCAGCATTGAACACAGGTGACTTTGAATAACAATTTATCGGAACAAGATGAATTTTGAAGCAGGTAGGAGGGTGGCTTTTGAGTCTGACAGATGTGGGTTCAAATCCTCTGGGGCCGCTGACTATCAGTGTGATCTATGGCAACTTAACCTCCCGGAAGCTCAGTTTCCTCGTGTGAAAAGTAGAAGTGATAACATCTCCACCATCTCCCTTGCAGGCTGCTTCTGTGGGGTCATTTGAAGGCTTATGGTTAACCCAGATAAGAGGTAGGATGGGAGTTTCTAACACAAGTCTCTTACTGTCCTGCACGATTTGTTGCTTCAGAGAAATGGGGTCTTCTCTATCTTTTTTGAAATTCCATTGTTGGCTTAGACAATGAGTAGCCTTCTGTGTATGTGATGTACATTCTCCCCCAGACCTACTGTTATGTATTTTCCAGCCTACTGAGGTAGTCCAGGCCCATTCACTATACACATCAGTGTGTGCTGGCTTGTGTTTTTACCCTTTCTGCAGCTACAGCCTGAACTAAGACTGGGTCCTTGCAGCTCTCCAACACATGATTGCTGCCTGCCAGAACCACAGACCTTTCTCGGGACTGGCACGAATTTCAGCCAACAGAGCCTGCACAGAAACACATGGAAAAGGCTTCCGGTGGAGCTTACTGTGAGTCACAGACAGCCATAGTTGCACTGGATAGAGAGCTGGCAGATGCCATCAGCATATGCCCTTAGAAACTTTGGTTGTTTTGTGGCCTGGAGAAGAGCCCAGAATTATGGAGCCTAAGAGGCAGCACCTCTGCTTTCTGAAGAGGAAGCCGTAGTGCCGTGGACTTCACCACGTGCACAGTGGCTGCATCCAGACCTGAATGCCCCTCTCATTACTCACCGGAAGTGAGCTTTGAACACTTCACACAGGAAGATGACTCGCTCCTCCAACAAGATGCAGAAAGTCTTTCCAAGCAAATGACTTGAAGTGTTTAAATATTCTGTTTCTTAGTCTGCTTTTTTTCTGTTAAATCCTTCAGCTTGAATGAGCACCTTTATCTGCAAATTGATCTGGTTGTAGCATCCCTTGACCATGTAGGTGGATTTTTAATTTGTACTTAAGGCCAGTTACAATATGCCATCTGCAACTCTGCTCCCTTTATGCTCCTGTAGCACTGCTATAGAGAGGAAGGGTTTGTCGTAGCAATGGGAAATAAAACAATGAGCATACAACTTTTACAATTGGAAATGAAGAAGCATAAAAAAAAATAACGGCTGATATTTGTTATCGGTCAGGCCTGAGTATGAGAATTATGGGTCTCTAACATGCCTGAATTAGCAAGAGGATGAAATTGCAAGAAGGCAGGCTGGAGAACAACCTCTTGACCCCACTCAGCATTTTGGAGCATGGCAGCTTAACAGATCCAACACAGAAAACAAGGGAATGGGTTAGTCTGGTGCTCATTCTCAAAGGTAGATGTGTCTGAAGTGAGAACTCTTGTTTGCATTCTCTGGAACCAAGTAGGGATCTGTCATCTTTTGGGAAGATCTGTCCTTCCTCAGCAGGTGTCCCATCAGCAAGGACAAAATCTGGAACCCAGATTCCAGGGAAAGAAACTAAGAAGAGCTAGGCATGGATCCAGGCCATTCAACAATAGGCTAGGGACAACAGCAGGCTCTGAGCTCAGGGAAGGGACGCTTGGGCAGAAACTAGTCTTACGGGATTGGGGAAGGTAGCACAGTATCACAGGGAGAGCATGTCTTTGGACTTGAAGAGACATAGATTATAATCCCAGTTTTGGTGCTTACTAGCTATGTGATTGCAGGTAGGTCAGTTTCCTTCATGGGACTCATCTGCAAAATAATTCTTACAGAGGCATCATAATACCCAAGATCATAGTCAAATAAACTTGGAATAGAAACTCTGGCCCATCATTTATGAACCATTAGTTCCTTAACTTTTGTCCTAACCTTCCTTAAGCCTCAGTTTTCCTATCTGTAAAAAGGAGATAAGATTACTTATCTTAGATCTAGTGTGAGGATTAATTGAAACATTGCAAGTACAATACTCAGCATAAGGCTCAGAACACAGAACACATTCCATAAATGGTGCTATGATTGGTCCTGGGATATTGGCTCCTGGTCTGGTTGGCAGTGAAGGCAAGGAAAACATGTGTGTGGGATATGCTGACAGTTTAGGGGATGTCCTAGAGTTTCCCATAGTTGTCCCAGTCAGTTTGATCTTGGTATTATGCACTAGGCTGTGTACTGTTTGGCCCCAGTTAAGATTCCAGGTCTGAGAACATTTTTGAAGCCCCTAGATGGATGGGCTGAGGTGATGAAAGAGGTAACTTTGATATGAACTATGCCTCAATAAGTGGGTTCTGCAAACTGGGGAAGGCAGGGCTGAAGCTGACAGCTTTATAGTTCAAAGAGTGTTTTCCCAAATATGATTTAATTTAATTTAACCCTTATAGCTTGCATCACCAAAATTGTCCCCAAATGAAGAAACAAAGATCCTGAGAGGTTCCCTAAGTGGGAGTCAGTGCTGGTACAGGGTCCTGAACTTGGCAAGACTGCAAAACCATGCTCCACCTGTGTCGCAGCAAGGCTGTGGTGTCTGTCCCAATGCAGTAGTCAGTGAGGATCTGCTCTCTGCTCAGTCCTGTGGAGGAGGCTCATAGTGTTGACCCTGTTCCTGCCCTATATATATGTGTATAGTATAATAATAATAATTCTGGGGATGTAATACAGTTACTATTTGTTGAGCACTAACTGCTTAACATATGCCATCTTATTTTTTTTCACAGAAAAACACCATAAATAGGATTTCTGATGTCCATTTTATAGATGAAGAAGGAAGGTTTAGCAAGGCCATTCAAGGATACACAGCTAGAGGACGAGATGGAATTGAAGTCCCTTTGTCAGCATCCTTTTCATTCTTGA
The DNA here is from genome assembly GCF_000001405.40 of Homo sapiens. NCBI lineage: Eukaryota > Metazoa > Chordata > Mammalia > Primates > Hominidae > Homo > Homo sapiens. The sequence continues at coordinate 58,757,779 of NC_000001.11, forward strand.
TGCCATTTCATTTCCCCTCCTGGTATGTTTTGTTATGCAGTTAGCTTAGGCCTAATTTTATATAACCAATTATAAACTGTGAAATAGGATTCTGGTATGAATTTCCTATTCTTCTCCCACTAAGCAACTGATGAATCCCTTCGTGGTCAGATGTGACGAATGGGATTGTTTCTGTTCTACTATGGTTTGAATTTCTACCTTGATAATTACACAAAAACACTATCAACAAAGGTGGACGCCAGGTAAACACTGCTCCCTCCTAAATGCTTCTATGGCTGAGATCCATTCTCTTGCTCTTTTTCTCCTTTCTTCAAGAACAGATGTTCATATTCTTTGCCAATTTTTCTACTGAGTTATAAGAACACATTATATATTAAGAAAATTAGTCCTATTTATTTGTCTTATAGGTTAGAAATATTTACCTGTTGGTCAATGGTCTATCATCTGAATATATAGTATTTTTGGGGGCCTCTGCATAATAGTTCTGTATTATTTTTTAGGAAAGCCTTCCCACTCCAAGAGAAAAAGTAAGTTATTTATATATCCACATCTTATGGGTCTTTGACTTTCTATTCTCTTCCACTGAATTGTCTATTTCCCAATTTCAGTTGTTACAATATTTATAGCTTTATAATTTGAGCTAATATCTGCCATTTTAAAGCTTTTTTTCTGGCTTCTGTTGCATTTTTATGTCTTTATTTCTTTCAGCTATTATACAAATGATACAACCTGCTATGGAAAAAAGAGAAATAACAGATAAGTATACAAAGAAAATACAAGAAAAACATGAACAGTAATAATCTTATCCAAATGTTACTGAGATATTTTTGGAGTACTTAATTTCAATCTTTTTCCTATATGCAAACACACACAACTTTTCTCTAACAAAAATCAGATCATACTGTACTAGCAAACACCCTACCTGAAATCTGTATATCCATTGCCTATTGATTATGCCCATTGCTTAACATACTATGTTTTATTTAATCATTATTTAATTGTTGAGTATGCAAGTTATTTCTGAGTTTTCACTCAAGCTGTTTACGCTTATTTCTGTCTGGGTGTGAATGAATCTTTGGCACATTCCTCTAGCAAGTTGATCAACATCTGGTCTAAGATATTCTTCGGTGTTGGGTTTGTGCTGTCCACATCAGCTTAGCAATGTCTGCACAAAGACTCCTTCCCCCTCAAAAGTGCCATTCAGACTTGCTGTGGGTATAAGGGGAACAATCTCATTGAGGAGAAAGTTGTCATTGTGGTTGAGAACATGAACTTTGGAATTGGATAGAGCTGTGTGAATTTGGCCTAAACTCCGAGTCTGCTTCCACATCTGTAAAATGTAGACACAAATAGTTACTCATAAGGTTCTGGTGGGGATTAAATGTGGTTATACCTGTAAAGTCCTTAGCATTATGCCCAGCACATAGTGAAGATGTTCGATAAATGATAACTAAACAAACATTGTGTCCCCTCCCACTACAACCACACTGCTCTCCCTCACCTTACAGACTTTGCTGCTTGACAATCTTGGGGTGGGGCTGCTGAAAACTGAATCTCAATTTAGGAAGCCATGTTGTCCCAGGATTAGGGTTATTGGCCTCACATAAGAATCTCCAAATCTGCAGAATCTCAGGCCCCACCCAAAAACTATTCAATCAGAAACTACATTTTCAAAAGATATCCCAGATGATTTGTATGCATAGTAAAGTTTGAGAAGGTTTTAGTCCAGGTATTCAGGAAGTGATGCTGGTTGTGTATGGAGGACAGGGGCCCAGGAACTGATGAAATCTCTAGTTTGGAATTCTCGATAGCATTTGCATTCTTTTTTTTTTTTTTTATCTCAAATCCATCACTCAGTAGCAATGTGATCTTCACAAAGCTCCCTTTACTTTTACCACCATAGTGTTGTAGGAGAAGCTCTATCTTCCAAGTCAGACAGATCTGGGCTTCAATTCCAGCTTTGTTAACTGGAGGACTTATTATTAGCTGGGAGGACTTGCGACAAATCATACCAACTTTCTGAGCCCAGTTTCCTTCCCTGTAAAATGTAGATAATACACCTTTCTTGAGGTGTTACTAGAGATAACCAATGATAAAGTGTTTGGGAAATCTGGCATATCGTAGGGGTACAATGAGTAAGTGGTTTGACTCCAAAGACCTGAGTTTGGATCTCAGCTCCACAACTCACTTGGCTGATTGCTTTCTTTCCCTGGACTCAAGTTTCATCATCTGTAAAACTGGCATTTCAACCAAATAACTTCTGAAGTCTCTCCCTCCTTTAAAGCTTGATATTACAAGGGCAAATTTTAGTACAAATATCCAAATCCTAACGGTAACTCACAATTACAAAAGAGCTGAGTCTGTCATTCACCTGTCAAATTATCTAAACTGCGTCTCAGTCAGGAGATGTGAAAAGAAGGATGGATTTTCTATGAATGTTTTCTTTTTTTTTTTTGAGACGGAGTCTCGCTCTGTCGCCCAGGCTGGAGTGCAGTGGCGGGATCTCGGCTCACTGCAAGCTCCGCCTCCCGGGTTCACGCCATTCTCCTGCCTCAGCCTCCCAAGTAGCTGGGACTGCAGGCGCCCGCCACTACGCCCGGCTAATTTTTTGTATTTTTAGTAGAGACGGGGTTTCACCGTTTTAGCTGGGATGGTCTCGATCTCCTGACCTCGTGATCCGCCCGCCTCGGCCTCCCAAAGTGCTGGGATTACAGGCGTGAGCCACCGCGCCCGGCCGAATGTTTTCAATTTGATAGAAACAAGTGACTCAAGGAAAGTGTTGACAGTTATTAAATTGAGTTTCCATATAATAAGGGCATATAATAGGTGACAAATGACAGGTCCTGAGAGCTGCATTTTGAATATTTGGAGGATTTGGGGCACATATCTGGTATTGGAACTTCTCTGAATTGGATTAGAACGCCGCGTGGCTCACGCCTGTAATCCCAGCACTTTGGGAGGCTGAGGTGGGTGGATCACGAGGTCAGGAGATCGAGACCATCCTGGCTAACACAGTGAAACCCCGTCTTTACTAAAAATACACACTCAAAAAAAATTAGCCGGGCGTGGTTGCAGGTGCCTGTAGTCCCAGCTACTAGGGAGGCTGAGGCAGGAGAATGGCGTGAACCTCGGCGGCGGAGCTTGCAGTGAGCAGAGATCGCGCCACTGCACTCCAGCCTGGGCGACAGAGCGAGACTCCGTCTCCAAAAAAAAGAAAGGGGAAAAAAAAAAAAAAGAAAGCTGTCAAGACCATCCAGACCTGAAAATACCTGATAGGGGGATGGGAAACAAAAACATGACTTCTCACAGTAGATCCTTAATTGGTGATCGAAAATTGGTTTAAAAGTGTCCTAACTAATCTTTTTTGAAGGGAAAGTCAGAAATACATTCAAACTCACAGTGTGTACCTCTGAGAGACAGTGGCTCATTCAAGTATCACTTATCCATTTGGGTCTTCATTCATTCACTCATTCCCCAAATCCTAACTGAGTACGTACTATAAAACAGACACTTGCCAGGTATTGGGGGATGGAGGGTCTGAGTAGGGGTAAAGATTAATTAGGTAATAAAATCCAGATTTCTTTTAAAAACAATCAGAAAATCTCACAAGGCTGGACCCACATTCTCACACAATAATGATTGCTGGCGCTGAGTCACTGGGGACCTACTAGGTGAAGCAGGAATCCCTGAGTGCCTACAGCTCCCATCCCCAAAGCTACATCATTACAGCATTCCTTCATGTTACCTACCTGTCATTACCTATGGACGTCTGAATTCATGAATCTGAGCTCACGAATTCTCATTGAGAGAACCTTTCCAATGAAATACCCATCGGATGCCCTTTGCTGAGAGCCCGGAGTAGAACCAGTGCTAAATTTCTAAGAGAGAGACAAATACCTAAATAACTCTATTGCAAAATAAAAGGTATTATCAGAAAGGGAAGGATGAAATGCTTTGAACATTTAGGGGACAGGGAAATTGTTTCTGGAGACTGGTACACATCAGAAATGGCTTCCTGGCAGATGTAGCACCGAATCTGGGACTTGAATGATTACATTTTTTCCATCAATTCAACAAATATTTGCTAGAAGCCAGCTAGCCAGAATGCTTTATAGAAGATGCACTCAGAATTGGCTAGTTATGAGGGAGCTGTTTGTCAACTGCTAATTTTCTGTGGTTTGCTCTTCTTCCCTTTCCTTTTACATTCACAAATTGGGAAAGTTAAACTTGTAGATCACTTTGGGGATTGTCAAAGGGTGGCTTCTGGTAGATACTGGTTTCTCCAAGCCAGGCAAACCTGCATTCACTCAGCATATATTTTCAAGTCTGGACTATGTACCGTCCACTATGACAGGAGTCAGAAATACAGTGATGAGTGCTGGCCCTGTCCCATGTAATTTACAGCCTTTTTGGAGAGAGAGGCAGTTTCAGTGACCTCACAAATACATGCAGGAGTGTAACTGTGATGAGTACTGCAAAGGGAAGAGGGCCCTTGTTGCTAAAGGACTTATAAGAGGAGTTGGCCATGTCAGAAGGATCAGGGAAGGCCTTACTGAGGCATGAGGCTTCCTGGTGTGAATAGCAGTTAACAGGTGGAGGGAGACCAGGTTCCAGGTGGAGGAAATAACATGTGTGTGGGCTCCTTTCCAGAAGAGCTGGAGAGAAGAGAGATGAAAGGAAGGTGATGCAGGATGAAGCTGGAGGAGTAAGAAGGGGTTTGATGATATAGCAGGCCCAGTCAAAGAATCTTGTCTTTATCCTAAGAGTCAAGAGAAGTTGCTGAGAATTTTTAAGCAGGAAAGGGTGATGATCATATTTATATTTTGGAAAGATCCTCCAACCTGCTCTCTGTGTTAAAACAGTTGAGTTCATATATCTTCTGGCTGCAATAATGGGAATGAACACAAGGCAGGACAGAGTACATGGGGGGAGGCCGGTTAGCAAGCTAGTGTTGAGTTCAGAAGGAAGATGATGTTCTTTTGACTAGGATGCTGGTGATGGAGGGCAATGAAAAAATCTGAGAGATAAATAGGAGCTAAATCAACAATATAATGGGCTGAACATGGAGGAGAAAAAAAGAAAAGAGTCAAACATATCTTCTAGGTTCCTCTCTGCCATGCATAATTGGATGGATGGAATACCATTCACTAAAATGAATCACCACTTGGCTTTGTTCTAAGACTGCTGTGTACAGTTGTGTGAGTTGTGTACTACACCAGGGCATCTGGCTAATTAACAAAGGCAGAAGCTGAAAGTCAGCCCATTCTCTGCTTGCCAAGACACATATCCCCATGTAGGGTCATGTCTACCCAGGTGGGAGGGGCAGCTTCTTATAATTTGCAAAAAATAGCTATCCATTTGGCTAGATAAAAAGTTATACCTTTTAACCAGCATTGCAGGCATCCAAGAAGGCCCACATAGGGTACTACGAGTGGGAGGGAGCACTAAAGGTGGTAAAGCCAGGGCCAGGATACCTGGATGGTAGAGACAAGGGCTGAAGAAGGTGATGAGAAAATGAGAGAGTGCAAAAAATATCAAGCTCAGTTTATTTATCCTGCAGTGGCTATCTCTGGCATTTCCTGGACTCCTGACCCACAGGGAGGGATCCTGCCTGTGGCTCACCCTTCCTGTTATTTTAATTCTTTTGTTGGATGCCTTTAATGAATGTAGACATGGACACTCATACATCAGAGAGCAGAAGTACTTTAAGAACCATCTAGCCCTACTCTTTCATTACACGGATGAGAACGCTGAGGTCCAGGGAAATGGAAAGCTTTGCTCTGTCTCCTGCTGGGACAAGATCCTTAATCGCCTGATTCCTCACATCATGCTGATCTTTCCTCTAACAAGAAATTGACTGAGCTTTCACAGACAACGAGGCAACACCTGAAAGAGCAAAGATACCAAGTCAGATTCATCTGAGTTTGGATCTCTGCTTGCCATTCTTTGTTGTGTGATTTTTGACAAGTTACTTAATCTCTCCAAGCTTCACTTTCCCCACCTGTAAAATGAAGATTAAAAACACCTTGAAGGTGGGCTGTGAGGATTAACGTAAAGCCTTTGGGATAGGGTCTGATATTCACGAGCCACCATCTAGACCACATTCTCTACTTATGTTGACTTCTCCAGCCCCTGTCTCTTCCCTACCCTTTCTCTATTCTCAAAGGGTTTGCAGGGATTCTGCAGAAAATTTATTCTTTGGAAATTCTTTGTGGAACTCAACACAAATTCAGCATATCAAATAAACGAAATATTAAGAAATGACTCTACCTTTTCCCCTAACCTTTCACTTAGGGTTCTGATCCCTAAGATGCAAATGGCAATTAACCCTGCACCCCACACTAGCCCTCTACCTCTCCCTATGATGACTCTGCACAGATCTCAGGAAGCTTTATGTGAAAATAACACCTTGGAACTAGAAGCAGAAGGAACTAGAGAGGTTTCTGCTGGAAGCATAATATAAAAGCCAGTTTTGAAGAAGGCGGGGGGTGGTGGGGGCTCAGAAAAATGAGCGATTACCAGAAGGAACTTTTTTTCTCCCAACATGATTTTTGATGGCTCATAGTTACTTTCATTTGTTCCGTGACTTTGAGAGGCTGACAAATAGCAGCCTCATTCTGAATGCCTATTGTTACTCCTGAGGTTTTATGTAGAGTAGAAAAGATTGTTTTGAACGTTTCTCATGGACAAGTGGAAGCTGTACTCTTGCTACAAATGATTCATGTGGGAGAAATGATATATAAACAAGATTGCCTGCTTGGAGAGTGGATGAGAGGGTGAGTTATTTCAGAAGGGCTCTTCACTTTCATGCCAGCAAATGATAAAAGCTAGCTCTCAGAATGGCAGGGGTGCTATGGAATGGAGGCTTCAGAAACTTTTTGACTCTTACATTTTATAGTCAATGTCAAAAAAATGTATTATAAATTTCTGACTAAGTCCAGTTACTTTTTCATGGTGATGTAGCAATAGGTTGATTCAACCTTGGGCCTTGTCCTGTCAGTGTGTTGAGGCTGAAAGAGCCTGGGTTCTGGAAGCTGAGCCTCTGGGGTAAGGTAGGTGCCTAAGGGGCAAAATTTCAGGAGGCACCTACTCTCAGGGTCATACAGGCACAGAGTCAGCACTTGCACAATCCTGTAAGTGAGTGCCTCCTTAAATTTTGCCCTCTGGGTCACCCTCTTTTCTCACCCAAATCCGGGCCCTGGAATTGAATTAGAATCAAGACTCCATCACTTATTGGTGGTGCAACTTTAGGGAATCAGTTAGGATTAGTCTTGGCTATAACAGAAAAAAGCCAAGTGAGAGTGGCTTATTTCTCTATTACATAAAAATCTAGAGCAATACAGGACAGGGCTGGCATAATGTCCCCATTGCATAAAGTCATCAGATCCTAGTTCCTTCCAGTGCACTTTTCTGCCATTCCAAGGGTTTTGCCTTCATGATTCAAAATGACACATCCACATTCTAGGCAGCAGGATGGAGGAAGGTGACTAAACCATGTGACTATATTACTGATTTTTAAAATATAACAAAATTATAATTATAAACATGTAGAATAGATTGTAAAAGCCCAAACAATACAAAAATAAAATATATTTTTGGATTGTTAAATCACCTATAATTGTTATTTCTATCAGCCCCACTCCAAATTCCCAGCCTAAGCATCTAGTTTATTGCAACTATTAAGGACTGAGCCAGTCTTGATTCCCACAATTGAAAATGTTTTCAGAAGGAATTATTCTTATGGAAGCTCATAAAATGTTCTTAAACCCATAGGTTTGAAAATAAGAAAATTATCTAGAGTGGAGTGGTAGACAGCTGAGTTATCTGCCTGCCCAGCACTCACTTCCCATTCTGGCAGGCATACTTCAATTTTGGTTTGGGGAACAAACTACCAGGTTCCTTTGCTTACAGACTTGGTAGAAATTGTCATTTGGGCTACAGATGGGAAGACGTAGAAATGTAACTCAAACTAGGACCATAATATCCCTCTCTCTTCGAATAATTTGTCTCTTGGATATGGTTAAAAAGCATAGACATATGACTGGGGATCATTTTCTCTAACAGAGACATGGAACTCAAACAAATTCCCTGAGCTGCTTTGGATCCTGTTCTTTCTGAGGCCTGATACTTCAGCGTCTTCAAATCTAATTTGCAATGCCCCATATCCTTCCAGTACACCTCTTCTATTTAAGTTACCTAGAGTCCATTTATGTTGCTTGCAATCAAGAACCCTAACTGACAAAAGAAGCTATTCACTTTTCTACCCAAATATTTGAAATTATACAGGTTGGTCTCTCCTACCTTGTTAATTATACCTGTTTTCTTCTCCAGCTTTTCCCAGGTGAGGCCATTAATGCCTCCACCCATAGGCTTAACCCTGCCCTGTTTCTGAGCCAACTCTAAAGTGAGGTATGAAGAGTCTCGATTTTTTACTGGGTGGGACTTAGAATTAAGTCATCTCCCTAATATCTGGGTTGTAGTGACTATGAGGTTTGATTTCATACTCAGGAATAGGACTAAAGAGGTGGTGGGTGAGTTGCATGCAGGATACCAAAGGATAAATCCTGGGGGCTTCCAGAAGTTCCAGAGGAATTACCTAGAAGGCATCATTCCAAGGAGGAAAGAGGCCAAAGCATCACATAGACTTCATAAAACAAGGGACCTTGCCTATCTTATTCCCCACTGTATCCCCAGTACAAAAAATTATGTCTGGCTCATGGTAAGTACTCAGGAAGTAAGTAGTCAGGCTGAATAAAAGAGGGAAAAAGCAATGGCAGTAAGAAGGGCTGAGATTTGTGGGGATAGAAATCAAGTGAAGAGGTGAGGTGACATTGCAGAGATGGAGTGAGGTCAGTGAGTAGAAAGGGGAAAGATGCAAAGTTAAGAGTGCAAGAGATGCTGACTTTTACAGGTGCCAACCGAGGCAGTCACTGGGACAATTTCTGGTCTTTCACAATATTTTCTTGAATTATCTTCTCTGCCAATGACATCTCTCAAACAAAGTTAACCTCAGGAAAACCTATAGCTGCCATATTCTGCCTCTTTGCCTGCCCTCCTTCCTTCTCCCTGCTGGCTTGGCCCAGCCCAGCAGAATGACATTTTGTGTTGGTCCTTCCTCTTGAGTGTTGACCATTTCCCTGTCTTAATCCCTAACCCAAGGCCTGGTGCTCTTATAACCTGCTGTGCTCTTCCATGTTCTCCCTACTAAGATGAGAGACTCATCAATTTCCCTGACAGGTCCCTGAGATGCCGTCACCAAAGTCTGGTTTCTTAAATGATGACCTGGTTAATACAAACAAGAATGAAAAAAGACCCCCACAACTAACATATATCGGGCACTTACAAAGATCAGGTCCTGAGCAGTGCTTTTAACTTTTGTACAGTACTCATCACAAACCCATGAATTAAATATTATTTTGGTATGAACTGCTAGTTGCCTACCCAGTATTCATTCTCCCATTCACAGATGTTAAAGACTACATTTCCCAGCTTTCCTTGCAACTAGGAGTAGCCAAAGAATATAAATAGAAGTTGCTGGGTAAGCTTCAGACAAAGCTCTTTAATGCTGATAGGGTGCCTTTTATTGCTGTGAAATATTGGCTGCAGTGTAGACATGATAGCTGGAGGGCACCTTGTAACCATGAAGTAACTTTAGGATGGAAGCCATATGCGAAGAATGGTGGAACAGAAACAGAGAAGGAGCCTATGACCCTGATGGCTGTGGAGCTGCTACAGTGCCTTCCTCCAGACTTTTTATAACAGGCAAAATAAATCTCTAACTCCTTAAAGCCATTAAAAGAGTTATTTAGCTGCTCTGTTTTATGCAATGAAATCCAATTCTGATCGAGTTAATTATTGCCCTGTGGGGCAGGCATATTTAGTGTTCCCCAAATATCTACCACTCTTCCACATTTCCCAGTCTTAATTGCAGTTGAGTTGGGCCATGTGTCTTATTCTGACCAATGAGCTCCAAGCAGAAATTACATACATTGCTTGTGTGCTGAGGCACCTAGGAGCCAGTATAACTTCTCCAGCTCTCTCTTTCTTGACACAGTAACATTGGAAGCCATATGATGAGATAGTAGTGTCACGAGATAGAAGAAAATGGGATCTCTAAGTCACTGGATGTAGGAGGATTCCCACTGACTTGACTTTGGGTGGGTAAAAAATTAATTTTTGTTCTGTGAAGTCACTGAGATTTCAGTTTGTTACCACAGCACAGATTAACCTATCCTGACTAATACACCCCATTTTATAGATGAAGAGATTAAGCCTCTCAGCAAACAAGTAACTTTACCCAATCAAAGGGCTACTAAGTGACCAAGTCTATATGACTCATGATAGCCAACCCATGGCCTCCACCTTTCCTATGTATTGGCCCCAGCTTGACATCCCTGATCTTGTTGGCTTCCCGACATTTGCTTCCGTCCAGGTCCTTCCCTCCTTTCCATCTCCATCGCTCTTTTTGGCATGCATGGATGAGAATGCCATATGTCCAAGTCTTCAGCTATGACACCAAAATCATAGAATTGCTTCTAAGGTTGTAATTCCGTCTTGGAATTTATTTTGAGCCTTGGCTGGTTGAGTTGGCCATTCCTGAAGATGGCTGCTCAGCATCTGGCTCCCATTTGGTCTTTGGCTAAAAATTCAAAATTCATTTTCATCACTGAGTTTGTAGTATTTTCTTTCTTTGCTGAGCACAGTGAAGGAAAAGATGTGGCCATAATACTGTATCTGAATCACTCAGCTTGGTGGGTTGGAACAACTTGTTCCTAAGAAAAACTTTGTATTTAACAGATGTTATCACATTCCAGGGACCGTGATAGATGCTGGGGATGCAAAGAGAACTTTACAAAGTAGCCCTTACATTAAAGGAGTAGCCAACCTAATGGCCTGCATGAAGTTTAAAAATGCAAAATACTGTGATAAGCCCATGGAGAATCAGCACATATAGGCACAGGGATAACACAAATGAGAAGGTTGTTTTTCCCACCCAGCATGATCCTGATTCCCACATGAATGGGTTTTAATGATATGATTGGAAGAGTTGCTGACTATTGAGTGCTGTGCTAAGCGTTTTCCAAAAATCAACACTTCCCTCCTTTACAACGATGACACCTATTCCATGCATAAGTAAACTGTTGCCCAGTGAAGGAAAGAGACTTACCCAAAGTCATGTATCTAAGATTTCAACTCAGTTCTGTCTAACGCTTGATCTTCAAATCTTCTCCAGCATAGTAAGCTGGTGCCCCTGTTAATGTAGATGAGTTTGGATGGGTTTATTCCAATATCGCACGTGTCTCTTGTCTCATTATCCAGTGAGTTCCCTGAGCCAAGCACTCCGCAGCTCCATCGCAGCGTGGGCCTCTTGGAAATTCGGTGCTAGTTCTCAAGGCCTCCTACCTGCTGAACCTTAGTCTTCATTGCTGAAATAAGAGCTGTCCTGCAAACAGAGTTTGGCGCTCGCTTTCTGGCCTCCGGCTGGTGGAGCAAGGACGTTTCCAGCACATAAGATTCCCCACTCTGTTAAAAAAAAATGTGTTTATACTTGGTCCCCTCTGAAGGCGGACGACACCCATACTTTTGTCCCAGCCCAATTTGCTGGCTGGGATTTTTCTCATCCTTTAAATCCCGGGAAGCAAGGAACCTGCCCTCTGGCGCCATCTACCGGCACTGTTTTTCGAGTCCAAGGAGCCCCCTGCGGAGTTGGGATGTGTTTAGTAATTGATTGGATGAATCCTGCCACTTCGTTAGTAGATTCTTATTTTCTTCACGGACTCTTTACTAATTAGTAAAGAGATTATATAGCAAATATATTATCTTACTTTAAAGAGACCAGAGTCTCCTATCTCTCGCTTCCCCCACCCCATCAGTTGTGGCATTCCTTCATCTTTAATTTCTTCCTTCGAAAAATATTTATTTTGTTATTGTATAGAGATCAGGGCATGGGCCACACAGCTGCACACCTGAGCAAACAGAGGGGCTGACTGATTTGCTGTTGTAATGAAAAACATTAGTTTTGGGTTCATTACTGTGATTCCACAATGGGCACCAAATCCCACTTAAGACCCACCGAAGAAGTCTTCAAAGGGACACGGTTTCAGGTCTGTGCCTGGTGAGCGTGCTGCCTCTTCGAATCTTTGCACAGAAATAACCTACGGTTGAAGACTCAGACCTGTCAGATCAAAACCAACCCTGGCCTCCAGACCTTGAAACAAGTCAAAACAGTGAACCTTACTCATCCGTTTTCAAAATATGGCCTGTTTTCTTTACAAAATGCAGCAAAGCCTCTCAGATGGGCGCTGGCTGCAATATTTGATATATTAGGGAGAATCCTGACTCCTTCCAGGTTTCTGCCCATCTGTTTTAAATCCAAATGGCTTGGCAGAGGATGGTTTTTAGTTATGTATTTTTTTCATTTCAAATGGAATTTAAAACAGCAGGGGCAGAAAGCCCAGATATGGATGAGAGAGAAAATAAAAAGGCCCCTGTAATTCCCCATTCGCCTTCTACATGAAGGAAAAAATATCGGCATTTGTTGTAAACCTACTATGTGTCAAGGTATCACTAGGGAGTGTGATGTTGCTGAGCCATTGGAATTTTATAAAATTTTAAATGTTTTTCATTTTCTTCTTCAGAGGTGGTTTGATTTCATGATCAAGAGCTTGAACTTAAAGTCAAATCCTTCTCCTGCCTCCTGCAGTCATGGGGCCTTAGCTATTCTCTGTAATGACTCTAGGTCTCAGTTTCCTTGCCTGAGAACAGGCCTGTGATAATTACCTTGATGGGCTATTGTCAGTTTTAAATAAGGTAGTGCAGAGGCAACTACCACAGGAATGGTTCTGCCTTAAGAATGAACTACGTGTGCATGTGTCTTTATAGCAGCATGATTTATAGTCCTTTGGGTATATACCCAGTAATGGGATGGCTGGGTCAAATGGTATTTCTGGTTCTAGATCCCTGAGGAATCGCCACACTGACTTCCACAATGGTTCAACTAGTTTACAGTCCCACCAACAGTGTAAAAGTGTTCCTATTTCTCCACATCCTCTCCAGCACCTGTTGTTTCCTGACTTTTTAATGATTGCCATTCTAACTGGTGTGAGATGATATCTCATTGTGGTTTTGATTTGCATTTCTCTGATGGCCAGTGATGGTGAGCATTTTTTCATGTGTTTTTTGGCTGCATAAATGTCTTCTTTTGAGAAGTGTCTGTTCATGTCCTTCGCCCACCTTTTGATGGGGTTGTTTGTTTTTTTCTTGTAAATTTGTTTGAGTTCATTGTAGATTCTGGATATTAGCCCTTTGTCAGATGAGTAGGTTGCGAAAATTTTCTCCCATTTTGTGGGTTGCCTGTTCACTCTGATGGTAGTTTCTTTTGCTGTGCAGTTTATTGAGGCACTATTCACAATAGCAAAGACTTGGAACCAACCCAAATGTCCAACAATGATAGACTGGATTAAGAAAATGTGGCACATATACACCATGGAATACTATGCAGCCATAAAAAATGATGAGTTCATGTCCTTTGTAGGGACATGGATGAAATTGGAAATCATCATTCTCAGTAAACTATCACAAGAACAAAAAACCAAACACCACATATTCTCACTCATAGGTGGGAACTGAACAATGAGAACACATGGACACAGGAAGGGGAACATCACACTCTGGGGACTGTGCTGTGGTGGGGGGAGGGAGGAGGGATAGCATTGGGAGATATACCTAATGCTAGGTGACGAGTTAGTGGGTGCAGCGCACCAGCATGGCACATGTATACATATGCAACGAACCTGCACATTGTGCACATGTACCCTAAAACTTAAAGTATAATAATTAAAAAAAAAAACCAAAACTACTTTGGTTATCCAAAAAAAAAAAAAAAGAATGAACTAGTGTGATTTTCAGAAAAAACCTGGGTTTTCTTTGCTCACCATCATCTGGCTGCTCAGTTTGTTGACGACTTGAGGGTACTATATTCCGATATGGCAAGTTAAACCACATACTATCTGGAACCACCTGCCCCTGTGGCCTCCCCTCCTACCTTGTCCCCTCCCCCTGAAGGAACCACGTTTTCTTTTCTTTTCTTTTCTTTTTTTTTTTTTTTAGACGGAGTCTCGCCCTGCTGCCAGGCTGGAGTGCAGTGGCAAGATCTCAGCTCACTGCAACCTCCGACTCCCTGGTTCAAGCAATTCTCCTGCCTCAGCCTCCTGAGTAGCTGGGACTACAGGTGTGCACCACCACACCCAGCTAATTTTTGTATGTTTAGTACAGACGAGGTTTCACCATGTTGGCCAGGCTGGTCTCGATCTCTTGACCTCATGATCCACCCACTTCGGCCTCCCAAAGTGCTGGGATTACAGGTGCAAGCCACTGCGCCTGGCCCGATATTCACTTTCCTAAGATAAGACTTTAAGAAGACATTGACCAGAATTGCCCATTGAGAGACCAAAAAGTAAATAATGAGTAATGCATTGTGACCCAATTTTAGAAAGGCAGTAGATACCTCTAGCCTGGTCTGCAAGGTTTGATAATAATAACAGCAACAATAATCACTAAATGGATGAGCTCTGGTAGTTGACATTTTCTTTTGATCCCCCCAGTATCTACTCCCTCCTAGATCCTGATTTTCCTTTGAAGATACCCTCTTTCCTCCCTGTCTGGCCATGTGCTTTGAATGACTCCACAACCTTGGTTTCAGAGGTGGGCACTTGACCTACACTTAAGCTGGTCAATATATCCCACTTCACCCCTTGGCCATACTGATTGGTTCAGGGATGTGTATGTGACCCAATTAGATCAATGAAGCATAATTCTGGGAGGCTGTGAGAAATTGCTGTAGCCCTCTGACCCCTATGGATGGAGAGTTGGGACTTTCTGGACACTACCACATGGAGACTGAAGATGAAGCTAACACTTTCCAGAGCAAGCTGAGTGACAGACAGAAATCAAAGCCTGATGATACCATTTGAACCCTGTATATAGCCATGTCTGGAGCTACATCTATGATGGTTTTTGACTGATATATTTCAATAAAAATCCTTTCCATTTAAACTAAGTTTCCTGCCTCTTGCAACCATGGAATTCTAACTGATACATTTATGATTTGCTGGCACTAGGTTAAGTAAGCTCTTTTACATATATTGACCTATTTAATCGTTACAGCAACACAATGGGAGTAGATATTATATTATCTCCATTTCACAGTGAATGCAACTGAGGCTTAGACAAGTGAAATATTTTCCCACTGACAGCTCGAGGTTGATATTAGAATTCAGATCTTAGCCACTATGCTGTTTCCTCGGCATGCGAATATGGCTGGAGAGTGGCAGCATGGTTCTTTCTCAGGATTCCATATCCTCTCAGGCACTTCATCCAGTTCTCTCCCTCCCCTCCCCAACACTGGTAACCCATTCCTTCATTTTGCTGTCCTTTCCCTCATCTCTTCTCCCAATCTCACACCTTGACTTCAATACTCCCAGGAGATAAACATTAGGCCCTCCACCTAGCAAGTTCAGAGAGCTCAGGTTTAGAGCAAGCTCAGAGAGCCTAAGGCAGGAGACTGGCTGAGATGACCCCTGCACAGCCCCCAGGCCACCTTGTTGTGGAAGCTATGGCCTTAGCCTGGGTGCTGGTGATTGCTTCTTCCTTTTCTGGCACAGAGCCACTCTCAGAGGCTTCTTTGACAGCACCTAGGGCAAGCCAGGCTGATAGGCACCCTGCTCGAATAAGGCATTTCACTGCCTGGGCATTTGTGTGCAGCTGGCTCTGTTTGAAATCCTGCCTCTTTCTGACTTCACTTCCTGAATGTGCTGACAGGCCTCTGAGCCAAGCCAAACAGGTTCACAATGCAGTGCCTGCAGAGTATTCCCCCGTGAGTGCAGCTGGGGAAACAAAACTTTTCTCCAGCCCACAGAGAGGACCTGCCAGCCCTTATATGACCAAGAAGTAGGCCCTGTGAGACCTCGTTGAATCTTAATGGGAAATGTTTTTATTTCAGCTGTGTGTGTGTGTGTGTGTATGTGTGTGTATGTATTCCTGATTGTATTCCTGATTTTTTTTTCTTAAATTAACAAGTCGACAGTAAAAACTAGCTAATTATTCTGTGCCTGCTGTATATAAGTGCTTTAGATGTATGTTCCTCCCAACAACCTTCTGTGGCAGCCATGATTGGCCTCATTTTTGCAAAGAAAGAAATTGAGGATTAGCAATCAATGGTAAGGGACTGGCTCCATGCTCCCCAGCTACAAGTGGCAGAGGCTAGATTTAACGCAGGGGCACTTCACTCCAAAATCTGCATGCCTCTGAGTCATAATACCTCAATTCTCTCCCCTAACTCATAATACCTCAATTCCTGATGTGTTTGTTCAGAAGTGCAGTGAGGAACAGTGGGAAGGGCAGAGGCTCTAGTGTCTTTCTAGCTCTGAAGTTTGGCAAGATAGTTTTTTTCTCTAAATCTCAGTTCCTCATATACAAAATGAAATAACAGTGCCTGTGTGGCAGAGAAGTTGCAGAGTTCAATGAGATAGAAATTTACATGGCAGTACTATTCAAGAGCAAGGTCCTGTGTGGACAAAGCCAGTTCTTTGGAGTCAGGAAGAGTTGGATTCAGCTTGAGCTTCTACAAGTCACTTATTTCCTAAAGTTGAACAAGACCTGATGCTCCATTTCCCCTTAACACCAACCCTGGAAGTCCTAACACAATGCCTGCTACATAGGAGACATGTAGCAAATGGTATCTATTATAAATATTATATACGTGTCGGTTTTTATTATGCTTGTAGCAAGCATTATTGGTTCCTACCAGAGGATATCGTTCCTACTGTTGGTTCCTACTAGAGTTAGAATATACTAGGTAATGCTATAAGAACAAGCAACCCTCAAATTCAGTGCCTTAAAGCAACAAATTCTTGGGGGATTTTGCTCATGCTAAATGGTCACTGTGGGTATGCTGGTGGTCAGGAGTTGTGGGAGAGGAGAGTGGACTCTGTCCACATCACTATCGTTTAAGGACACAGGCTGATGGACATTGCATTCCTGTGTGTCCACAGTTGCCAAGGCAAAGAAAAGGGAAGATGTTGAATCTTGTAGTTGCTCTCAAGGCGTCCTATCTTGGTGTGATATGTCACCATTGTTTGCATTTCATTGGCTGATGCAAGTCAGAAGTCCTCTCGCTTAAGTTCAAGGAGGTAGGAGATGGCAAAGTACAAGCAATCATGGTGGGTTCATTTCCTAGTCATGAATGATTTTGAGTCTAGGAATATGACCTGCTCCTGTCCAATGGGACAAAAGGGCAAGTCTACTGGGGTGGAGGTGGGGAGCCGCTAGGAAAGTTTCTCTTGTTAATAAAAACAGAAAGATGATAGTAAACATTCCTGCATTGCTGGTGACTATTGTGTTGACTTATGATGCCGGAAATGCTGCAGGTATCTTGAGTGCTCACAAGAAACTTCCTTGACACACTGAGAATGGTGAAATGAAAAGATAGGAGGCACCTGAACCCGTGATTATGTCATTAAGCCACTACATTAGCCACTC
The DNA here is from genome assembly GCF_000001405.40 of Homo sapiens. Lineage (NCBI taxonomy): Eukaryota > Metazoa > Chordata > Mammalia > Primates > Hominidae > Homo > Homo sapiens. The sequence goes on from NC_000001.11 coordinate 58,775,317, forward strand.
GTGGACTTGTTTCATAGCTGGTCTTCTGGTTTACGTTGCATGTTCTGTTGCTGGCCCCTGCACACATCTTAACTGGTAGAATGGTCAATAATAGAACAATTCAGATGCCTGCCCATTTTTCTCCAGGATAACATAATATCAGGAAAAGTTTCCCCCTTCAAGCATGAACCTAAGATCAATCAATACACCCTGGAAGAGATTAGTCATCAGCCCAAGGTGATGAATGTACAATCCTCAGGATATTTGGGAAATATTCAAATTCTGTCCAGGGGACCAGTGAGTACCTACAACCTAAGAAGGCAATAACTGTATTGGTCATCTGGTAACACAATTGTTTGAAGCAATAATGAGGCAATCATCAAACAATGTTTTTTAGTGATGTACATGAAAGAAGTTTGTATAGCAAGAAACTCTCAGGGCTTCTCAGCACAGAAGTGTTCGTTCTCTCCAGAGAGGGGGAGTTTGCAGAGAGGCAAGGAGAGTTCATTAGACATTGCTGCGGCATGGACAAAATATCCCAGGAGACTATCTGATTACCTTTGCTCAGATGCTGTGCACATCAAAGAACCTTCTGATAACTAATTCAGTCCTCAGGGTCCTTGATGTAGACGTAGGGGTGTGCACTGAGTAAGAGACCCAAGGTCACCAGGATTTCTGTTTCTTGGAACAATATAGGTGAAAAATATGGTTCTTGATGCCTGGGGACCAAATTGTGCCCCACCAGTTACTGGAGCCATGGCCTCAACAAAAGCACTTAAAACTCACTGGGAGCCTCAGCTTCTGCTCCCATGAAACATGACTACTATCAATGGGCATCCCGAGAACAGTGGTGAAAATAACATGAGACAGAAGAGGCAAAAGAGCTTTGGAAACTACAAGAGTATGGATGGGTGAGTACAAATGTCATTGCTCATCACTCTTTCTTTTGCTTAGTATGCTCCAGGGATTCAGGCCTTCTCATAACTACTAGGGTGCACCAGAGTCTTTCCCAGGCTCTCCTTCATGCTGATTCTTCACCTGGGATGTCTCACTCCTATTCATCTGCTCTTCACATGGGGAACTCTTAGTCTAAGATTTCTCAGCTCAAGTAGTTCTCCAGAAATACTTTGTTGCCAACCCAATTTAGATCTTCTCTTTATTAGTGCCCAGTTCTTTTTCTTCATTGCACTTTAATCATATATTTATTTGTGTGTTTCTTTTCCTTCCTCCCTCCCTCCCTCCCTCTCTTTCTCTCTCTCTTTCTTTCTTTCTTCACGGAATCTCTCTCTGTCGCCCAGGCTGGAGTGCAGTGGCGCCATCTCAGCTCACTGCAACTTCCGCCTCCTGGGTTCAAGTGATTCTCCTGCCTCAGCCTCCTGGGTAGCTGGGATTACAGGCACCCACCACCATGCCCAGCGAATTTTTGTATTTTCAGCAGAGAGACAGGGTTTCACCATGTTGGCCAGGCTGGTCTCGAACTACTGACCTGAAGTAATATGCCTGCCTTAGCCTCCCAAAGTGCTGGGATTACAGGTGTGAGCCACCATGCCTGGCCTTGTGTGTTTATTTACTGTTCCTTTTAGCTAGATGAGAAACTCCATGAGGGAAGGCATCCTGTTGCTTTCACTCTTCTGTGTTCCTGGTTTCTGGCACAAAATAGGATTTCAATATTACTTGTGGTAGAAAATGAGTGCTATGGGAATGTAAAATGTTATTATCAGTTCCCTCAACATAATTTGTTTATACATCAAAGAGTTTATAAAGTTTGGGTCAACTAGCCTCATTGAGCTTAATCAATTCTAGGTGACCAGATAAAGTCAGGTTTGGTCTTGCAGCAGTGAAGACCAGTTCTGTGCTATAACCCTGGAAGGCCTGGCCTACACGGGTGCAGGTCTGTTTCATTCACATCTGTTTATTTGAGCTTCCTGACTCTGAACAGGTGGGCTCTAGACCATTTTGTGAGAAGATTTTCTTTCAGGTATCAAATGGACCCAATGGAGAGGAAAATGTAAGCATGGAGCAGGTAGCATAAGAGGAAAGCAAACCTCCTGGTATCCCTCTTTAGGCCTAACTCATCAGAAAGTTACATAAGAAGAAAGGTGGCATGATGTAGCCTGGACCAAGCCATCTTCTTCCCATTTGTCCCCCAACTGTAAGACTACTTTAAATACCACAGGCATTCTAAATAAAACTGAAAACCTATCTTTGGTATTTCACCCCTTACCTAGCTTCTTCTTCACCAATCCATCCTCCAAACTGTTGCCAGCATGAATCATTCTTAAGCTGAGGGTATTATGTCCCCACTCTGTTTCAAATTCACCTGCTTTCTCCGTCACCTATAGGATAACATGGAATGGATATTAAATCTCAACCCAAGCCTTCAACTTCCCTGCCTCTTCTCCCTTCAGTTTTCTTCTCGTATCTTTCTTCCGAGCTTCTCTAAGCAGCCTTCAGGTCCCTAAACACAAGACGTTTTCTCATACTTCTCTGCCTTTGCATGCACGTTTCTTTCCAATCTTTTCTGCCTGGTAAGGCCCACTGGATCAGCTCAAATGTCACCTCTCCCATAAAGCATTTTCTAATAATGTCTCCTTCTGCTCCCATCTGGCACCTTTTTCTTATAGCATATATCTTGTGCCTTTAGAATAGTTTCTATTTCATCTCCACATTCCACTCTACCAGAATGTGAGTTCCTTGAGAATAGGGATTATATTTTGCTCATCATTGAATCCCCACAGACAAGCAGAGGGCCTCAAAGAGACTCAGGACCAGAGGAATGCCCTGCTTTATGATGTTCAAAAGTCCAAAACCAAACAACTCAAGTTAGGTTCCAGAGTTAGGAAAGAATAGTTTTACATTCTGGGGCCATCCCAGCTGCTAACCCTCTTCCCCTCTTCTATGAGATCCTACTTGACCACCATAGAGGTGGGTGGAGGAGGCAAGGGACAATCAAACCAGAAGTCATGGCCTCTTTCCTTGGTTCATGAATGCACTTCTCTAGTAATGAAATGACATGGAGGAATAGATGGATTAGCATGATTCCTGTCTCAGCAAGCAAACATTGGGTACTAACTTCTGGACCCCTGAAATATGTCTAATTTTACTAACAGAAAGTCCCCTCTCTCATTACCAATAAAGCTGGTTGTTTTAAATGAAGACACATCTGGAACTGTTTTTGTGCCTGCCCAAGGACACACATAGGCTCCATTTCCACCTTCAAAACTAATGTTTCAGGCAGACCCATTTAATGTAAGAAGATGCTCACCTGCATTAGTGGAGGCAGGAAGGGACACTGTGTGTGGCTGGATGTATGAATGTGCTAACAGCTTAATTCTTTTAAGAACACTCACTAAGTACTGGGCTTTAGAACTTGAGGGTTGGCCAGGTTGACTTTGAGGGTTGATCCATCACGAGTTATGCACCTGGAAATGAATGAAGTATATTTACTAGAAGAAACTAAGACTTGGAATTATGTTGGAGGAGGGTTTGAGCTCACTTGTTCGTTCAGTCATCAAACATTTATTTTATGAACATCTACTATATGCCAGGCGCTACATTAAAAGTTTGGGAGTCCATTGATGAAGAAGATAGGGTTCTGACCAGGAGACACAGAGGTTCATAATACATTTTTGTATGTGCTATCATAGGATTTTTGATAAAATGTTATCATGCTCATTAGGGAATTATTCATTCCTTTTGAAGATGGAGTTACTAAGGGAAGCTTTACAGAGAAGGTGTCACTTACGCCAAGACTTGAAGAATGGGTAGGATTTATCAGTTGAACTAGAAGGAAAGGTATTCCAGGCAAATACATGCAAGCAGAAACATGAAGGGGTGAAAGAGCATGGGATTTAGATCCATACAATGATATGTTTCTGATAGTGGGCATGTAGCTGGTCAGTTCATGGTTTATTAACCCTTTTTTTTGAGTCATGGAACTCTGGGAGGGTCGAATAAAAGCAAAAATTTCTCTCCTCAGAAGAGTGTGTACAGACACACAAACACAACTTTCTGGGCATTTTCACTGAGTTCATGAACCCTCTGTCTTGATAGACAGAGAGGGTTAAATGTCCTTGATTGAATTATTTTATATATGTAACATATATATATGTGTAAAAAAAATTAAGAGGATTAATGACGATGTGTCACCAGCTTCATCTTCTCCAACTATTAGTGTTACCTTAATTCAAAGATTAACTCATTGAAGGCCCATAATAAGCTTAACCATTAAGTGTTTATAAGCAGTTAATCTTTTGTCTCCAAAATTTACCAGAGATCATGGGTTAATTTCCTCTACCACAATTACTTTTTTCTACCCCTTTTGGTTAGAATGGTTAGAATTTCAAGAATATACATTTAGAATGTTAATTGAAACAATCAAGCATGGGGATAGGCCTGAGTTTCAGACTTTTTTTTTTTTTAACACTGAAATCTAAAGCAAACTGGGGAGTGGTGTGGCTTTTCTGTGCTGTACTGTTGTCTGGGCTTAGTCTACCTTTGCAGGTAATTAATTCCCCAGCCTGCTTATTTTTTCTAGTTGGCTCTTGTTTAGCTTCCACAGAGCCCCACCCCAAAATGCTTTATTGTCCCTCTGCTATTTCTACATATGGTCAAAATCATCTCACCTTCCGGGTTGCTGACATCGGCAAATTCAGTTTGGCAAACTGGGCTCTGCTCCCAGTAACCCTTTGTTCAAGAAGTGTTATTACAAAGGATCCGAAGCTAACAAGCCTGTCCAATCTCTTCCACTCCTAGATATACTCCTAAGGAGAAACTCTTTGTGTATTTGGATTTACAGCCACAGGCAGGATATTAGCACTCCCAGACCTACTGGGTACTAGAACACTGCTAATGAGCAAACAGCCCTGACTCAATTAGTGGTTTGTGAAATATTCCTGGATATCAAATTGCTTTTGCTGCCTGATAATCACACTGGCTCTTGGTATGAAAAGCAACCAAGCAAAAAATTGTTCCCTTGTTAAGCACTGCCTTGTTGATCTCCTAAGTTATATCTGTAGGTAGAATTCAAGTTTCCCATTTCCCCAGAGCTGAGGTTTGATTTACGCATGTAATCATTGAGTTAGTACTAGTTCATGTTTTCTCTTGTGAATCTTTTCCATAGTATTAGATTACTATCTTTTGAGACTTATTCTATATTTAAACAAGGTTGATTATTTTAGAAACAAATTAAGAAATAAGCTACAGACAGACCCAAAATGCTAAACTGTTAGTTTCCATAGGCATAGGGGTTTATTTGGGGGTGAGGTAGTAGAGAGAGAGATAGAGATGGAGAAAGAGGGAAAGAATTAATGAAATTGGGAGACTGTTTCATTCAGATCACAACTTCTAGTTTGACTCTTCCTAAATTCTTTGCTTCTTAATTTTCAAATCACTTCAGATTGCAGCAATGTTAACCTCAGCAACTAAAAATAAAAACTTCAGTATATAACTTGGGAAGAAAAAAGTAGTAAAGGGAAGCAATTCAAGATCTGTTATTGGTATTTGAATACATTTATTGTGACAAGAATGCTGTTATAAATATTCATAAGCAAAGGCCATCTTTTTATCTAGGAATTGTCAAAGAGAAGATTCCAAATTGGAAGGATACATCTTTTGTAAAATCTGCCACCAATTCCTGCTTTGAGAATAAGCACCTATTGTAAAATTTCTACTAACATTATAAATGGTCACAGCACATGCCACTTGATACAATCCAAACTTTGAAATGTTTGACTTCTCAGTGGGCTGTCCCTCTCCACTGCAACCCCCCTTCCTCCAGCCTCCTGAAACATCGCACTATCCTTTGGTAAGCAATTCCATATAGATAGCTGGGGGAGGAGGAGTATAACCTGACCATAGCATCAGGTACATCAGGTACATTTATTTCTAAAGTCTAATAGAGAACAGTTTTTACTGCTTAATAGTAAGAAGCACTGAGAGTGATTTTAATCGACATTCTTAACTCTTTCAACTCCACCTAGATAGCTAGTATCTACAGATGATGCAGAAAAGAGGTTAGGGGAGTACTTTCCAATAGTTTATTGTATTTTCTTAAATATCCTTTCTGGAATTTTCAGAAACAAAACATAAAAAAATTATATACTTTATTACAAATGGTAAACTCAGAGTGCTCCAAATCTCTTATTTACAAACAACACTGGGCAGGATACCCAAACAAACAAACAAGAAATAACTTACAAAGGCATGAAGCTGTTTATTGACAGTAATCAGCTTTCATCAAATTAAAAAATATATATATGTACATACACAGTTAACGAAGGCAGGCCAGAAAGAGTTCATCTGTAGGCTCAGCCTCGCTCTCACAAACCTCCCTCCTGCCGCCCCTCCCCAACCCTCCCCCCGCTTTGTGTTCTTAAGGAGTACTACAGAAGCAATCTACAGTCTCTATTGCAGTTTGTAACCCCCTCCCCCTCCCCCCTTTAATACTGAATGAGATCGAATGTTAGGTCCATGCAGTTCTTGGTCAATGTTAACGAAAAGTCCAACGTTCCGTTCGCGCGGGGACAGCCCGTCCGCAAAGCGGGGCAGCCCGCAGGCGGCCGCTCCCTGGCTCCACGCCAAGGGAGGGCGCGCCAAGTCCTTCCCACTCGTGCACACTGGGGGCGCCGTCAGGACGCAACCCAGTCCAACTTGGATACCCTTGGCTTTAGTTCTCGGACACTTCTTTTTTCTCTCCGTCGCAACTTGTCAAGTTCTCAAGTCTGTCTCTCTGTGTTATTTTTTTTCTTCGTTGCCCCTCAGCCCCCGACGGTCTCTCTTCAAAATGTTTGCAACTGCTGCGTTAGCATGAGTTGGCACCCACTGTTAACGTGGTTCATGACTTTCTGTTTAAGCTGTGCCACCTGTTCCCTGAGCATGTTGGCCGTGGACGCCAGCTCCGAGTTCTGAGCTTTCAAGGTTTTCACTTTTTCCTCCAGCCGGGCGATTCTCTCCAGCTTCCTTTTTCGGCACTTGGAGGCAGCGATGCGGTTCCTCATGCGCTTCCTCTCCGCCTTGATCCGCTCCTGGGACTCCATGTCGATGGGGGACAGGGGCGGTGTCTCGCCGGGCATCTCGGGCACTGTCTGAGGCTCCTCCTTCAGGGCCTGCAGCCGCGGGTGCTGCACGGGCATCTGCTGGGGCAGGTGGTGCGGCGGCTGCTGCTGCTGCTGGGGTTGCGCGGGAAAGGCCAGGCCGGCCGCGCCGTAGGAGGGCGCCCCGCCGCCGCTGCTCAGCGCGCCTGGGTTGAAGTTGCTGAGGTTTGCGTAGACCGGCGGCTCGCTGTGCAGGCTGGCGCTGAAGCCGCCGCTGCCGCTGCCCCCTGCCACCGAGGCTACCGCGGGAGCCACCATGCCTGCCCCGTTGACCGGCTGCGCCGCCGACGTGACGCTGGGCAGCGTGTTCTGGCTGTGCAGTTCGGCCAGGGCGCGCACGAAGCCCTCGGCGAAGCCCTCCTGCTCATCTGTCACGTTCTTGGGGCACAGGAACTGGGTGGGGGTCGGCGTGGTGGTGATGTGCCCGTTGCTGGACTGGATTATCAGGCGCTCCAGCTCGGGCGACGCCAGCTTGAGCAGCCCCACGTCGGGCGAGGTGAGGAGGTCCGAGTTCTTGGCGCGGAGGTGCGGCTTCAGGCTCCCCACTGGGTCGGCCAGGTTCAGGGTCATGCTCTGTTTCAGGATCTTGGGGTTACTGTAGCCATAAGGTCCGCTCTCGGACGGGAGGAACGAGGCGTTGAGGGCATCGTCATAGAAGGTCGTTTCCATCTTTGCAGTCATAGAACAGTCCGTCACTTCACGTGAGGTTAGTTTGGGCTGCGCGCACAAGTTTCGGGGCCGCAACAGGGCTGTGGCAAGCGGGGGACACCCGCGCCCCCCGGAGCCTTTGACAGGGAAAGTTTCTCTAAGAGCGCACGCACCCGCTGGCTGTCGTCCCCGCTGCGCCCTCCTCACCAGCTCGCTCCAGGGAGCGCAGGGTTAATTAAGATGCCTCCCGCACTCTTACTTGTCGACTCGCGCGCGCTACCCGGCTTTGAAAAGTCGCGGTCACTCACTGAGCGCTCTTCGTGCGCAGCGGTTCCTCGGAGTCCGCAGGCGAACTCACTTCCCAGAGCAGCGGCTCTCCCCGCGGAGCGGATCAGTGCGGACCCTGCAGTGGCCGGCCGGCGGCGGGTCTTGGCCGCCCGGACTCCGACGACTTGTCCCCTCCTCCGCTGCTAGGGGGAGGGGGCGCCCGGCAGCCGCGGCTCGCGCTCGCCCAAGTTCAACAACCGGTGCGAGCGAAGCTGAGCGCACGTCCTTCTTCTCTTGCGTGGCTCTCCGCCGCCTTCTGGTCTTTACCGCCGTGGAGAAGCCTAAGACGCAGGAAAGGCTTGCAAAAGTTGGCTCCGGGACTCTGCCACTTGTCTCCGGTCCTCCCAGCCGGGAAAGTTCTTTGCTGCTGCAGCCGCTCGCCGACTTCCCCCGGCGGGCGCGTGGGTACCGCTGCTTTCCGCCGCTGTCAACAGCGCCTGGGCAGCAGGGCTCTCCTCCCGGGGGCGGCTGGAGACCAGGCTCTCTGGACACTCCCGAAACACCAGCCCGGGAGCCACAGGCGCTAGCTCTGGGCAGTTAGAGAGAAGGTGAAAAGAAAATAAGATTTGCAGTTCGGACTATACTGCCGACCTGGCTGGCTGGCTGTGTCTGTCTGTCTGCCTGACTCCGCGCACCTCCACTCCCGCCTCGCTGCTTCAGCCACACTCAGTGCAACTCTGAGCCCTTATCCAGCCCGAGCTCAACACTTATCTGCTACCAGTCAACCCCTAAAAATAGCCCATGATGTCACCCCAAGGCCTTCCCATTGGCTCGCGTCGCTCTCAGGGGGGCGGGCCCGCCCGTCACCATGGAGACTCCACCCTAGAAGATTCTTCTCTGGGCCCGCGGAGGCTCACGGGATGAGGTAATGCTCCGCTGCCCTCCTACAGTCGGGCCCTTCTTTCTCCTACCCTCCCCCCTGCCGCACGCCTCTCGGCCCTCTCTTCCCCGGTCCCCTCCCCGGGCCGTTTTTCCCGGCCCGCCCGGTGCATTGTGGGCTGACGTCTTGGGGTTTGACTGTCTAGTGACGGTGGCTGCCGCGAGCGGGCGGACGCTCGCAACCTCTGATGGAGGGGGGCTCAAGTTCACGGCTGCGGACGGGGATGCGGGGGATGCAGGGACCCGGGAGGCCAGGGAACCTGGCCAGTTGTTTTGGGCCAGGGGTGCGGGCGAGGGGTGGTTGTTGTTTCCCCACTTGTGGGGCCCGAAGTCATCCACCGGCGGCCGCCACCGCGCGGGGCTGGAGGCTGAGAATCCAAGTACGCTGCCACCCCCCCGCACTTCCGGGGGGGCGGGAATACCGCCCTTAAGGTGGCTCTGTGAAGTCCCAGGTGGGGGCGAGCCTAAGGGGACTTAAGTTTAGGGGCGGTCTCCCGAGAGTCGGCCCCCCACGTTGAGAACACTCCGAAGTTTGCATCTCGGTCAAGTTCAGGAGCGACGGTCCGCGGGGTCGTCTGGCTGCTCGTAGAAGCCGAGAGATTTGTATTGCCCGAAACTGGACGCTCAGCTGAGTCTCCGTTGCACCCCACTTCATCCTCCGGGACCGTGGGGGAAAGGGCGCGGGGGTTCACAGCTTTGCCTCGGAGGGGCAGTTTTTATAGTGGGCGCAATTGGTGGGTAACAGGGTCCAGATGGGAACAAGCGTGTAGGCGATCCGAAACTCGGGGAACCCCGGTGTTAGTCTACTCCCCCTCCCGCCCCCGGACAACACGCACACGCTTAACACAACACGCACAACATAACGCGCGCGCGCGCGCACACACACACTCCATCCGCGCCGAGTTGCTTCCGGGAAAACAAGCCCAGAAGGCGGCGGACACTCGCATAAAGTCACGCAGTAGTACTCGGAGCCCGGGGTAGAACCTGGACTTCAAATCTCTGCACTCCCGGCCGGGTGGTGGGCGCATATCCTGGGTAGCCTCTAGGAAGCGCTAGACACATGTAAGTGGTTCCTTTTCCGCGGTTATTTTATTCTCCCCCCGCCCCCCACCCCTTAGGGACGAAAGTGTGTGGTGGAAAGAATCCCGAAGTCGGGAATCCTGGTTCTTTCGTGGCCAGGCTACCACAGTGTGAAGCAAGCAAATCACGGAACTCCTCCGAGCTTCATTTCCCTCATCTGCAGGTGGGGCCGGTGCCGTCCACCTCACTGGGCTGCCAGGAGTTAGTGTGACAGGGTCGCCTGCAGCACTAGGGAGGTGGTGGCCAAACAGCCCGCTTCCCTCCCCTGCCTCGCAGTTTCCATCCTCGCAGAGCCTGGATAGGATGCCAGGATATAAGAGTGCGATTTGGCAGGACCAGGTGTACTTTCCTGTGAGAAGCATCGAGGGGAGGAGGGGAGGGGGAACCGGGTTAGAAGTCAGATCTTTCCCAAGCCTCTGTCTAAAACTGGGGCTTGAAGTTGGACCTGCAGCAGTTTAAGTTCCTAGGTTCTAAATTCAGACTTCGCTGCTTCTGAACTTGGAATTCAGCCTTGGGTTCATTGCCCCCAGCCCTAAGGTATTTGCGGCTTTGAGTGTTCAGAAACCAACAGCAGCTGGTATCAGTGGGAAACCTGCCAACTTTTCTTCACTCCGGGCACTCACCTAGCTTTCACTGATCTGCAGAGGGTAACTGAAAGCCTACTGTGAGCCAGGCACTGAGCTGGGGAGGGGGTGGGGTAGGTAGGTATACAGTGATGACAAGATCCAGTTGCTTCCTCAAGGAGAGAACATTCTCCTCTGTCTGTTGCCCTGAATCATTTTCTGTTGTATTCAGGGAGTTGGTGTTCTAAATATTTTTTAATAACAGTAATAAAAATCAGTTTCATGTATTAAACACTTATTATCTGCCAGGCATTCTCCTAAGCAATTTAAATACGCTGTTTTCTCCCCACAACTGTCTTGAGAGACATATATTATTATCCAGATTTAACATGTGAGGAAATAGGCCCAGAGAGGTTAAGTATCTTTGTTGAGGTCACACAGGCAGCTGGAAATTGACCTCAGGTCTGTGTTACATTCCTTTGTATTTTCTCTACTCTGGCAAACTTTCTTGTGGAGTATTAGTTATCTGCAGAGGAAATAGCGCTTGTGGCATAGAAGAAATTTTCTTGCCTGATCCTCTGACTGTAACTCCGTTCAGAGCTCTTGTATTTAGAAATTTCAAGACTTAGGACTTTGCATAAATATATATCTTTTGCCTAAGGTTCTGTGTGTTCCTCTCTGCCTCATGTGGTTTAGTAGGCTGATCTTCTCCTTATGTTGAGAAATAGCATATTTCATCCAAAAAAATAACAAATCTGTTCATGTTAACGCCCCTGCTTGGAAGCCTTCATTGGCTTTTCCTTACAATCAGGAGAGTTCCGATTCCTATGCCTTGGAGAAGGGGCTTTTCACAATCCAACTCCTTCTCTCTCCAGCCTTATCTCTCACTCCCAGTTCTGTCAGGAAAGGCAGTGTTATGCTGCCCTAACAAACAACCCTAACATATCAGTGGCTTATTCCAGTGAAAGTTGGTCATTTCTGCTACATGACCGTTGTAGGTTGGCAGGGTAGCTCTGCTCATTGTAGTCACTAAAGGGCTCAGGCTGAAGGAGGCCTCGTGTTGATACCCCTTTTCACAGCTATCCTGACTGTGGGGAAGGAACTCGGAACATCATGGCTGTCAGAGCATCCACTTATGGCACACATCACTTCTGCCCATACATCATTGGCCAAAGCAGTCACATGGCCATGCCTCTTTAGATCACTATAATCCTACCAGGTGTCTCAAAGGGCTCTCCAGGAATATTTGGGGAATAACACTAAAGACTCTGTCTCCCTTTCTGTTCACCAAATGTTTGGTCTACTCTCCTTCCCCTGGTGGAATTCCCTCATTCTTTATTCAAGGGAAACAACCTTAAAGACCCATCCAGTCACAGCACCAAGCTGCCCTGCCCATTGTTTTCCATGACTCCTGGATTTGCCCTCGGAGAGTCTTCCTTTTCCACAGCTAAAGCAGGCATTGGAAAATATGCTTTTAAATAAGCTTTTAAAAGTTGGGGAGATGCAGAGTGACATTAAGTCTTGAATATGTGTAGGTAGGCTTCTTATCTATCTGATATGAGGTGTTCCATGTGACAATAGCCACAAAGTTCTTTTCCAGACATACTTCTTTGGTTTGCCATATCTCTTTGCTTTCCTGCTCTCCTGCCTGTTGACTCCTCTGTCTCTCTTTTGCCGTCTCACTCTCTTGCTCTTCACTTGATTTTGAGCACTTTGGGCTTATTGGGTTTTGATGGGAGAGTTAGACCTTTCTTCCTTTTCCCAGAGCCATTTTGTCCAGTTGAAAGTATATACTGGGTAAGATCTTAATTGATCCTTTTTTTTTTTTTTCTGAGACGGAGTTTCACTCTTGTTGCCCTGGTTGGAGTGCAATGGCACAGTCTCGGCTCACTGCAACCTCTACCTCCCGGGTTCAAGCGATTCTCCTGCCTCAGCCTCCTGAGTAGCTGGGATTACAGGCATGCGCCACCACGCCCGGCTAATTTTGTATTTTTAGGAGCGACAGGATTTCTCCATATTGGTCAGGCTTGTCTCGAACTCCCGACCTCAGGTGATCCGTCCTCCTCGGCCTCCTATCCTGAGGTTTTAATAGTAGGTTCATACTTTGTGACTTGATCCTTACTTCAAAGCTTAGTTTCTTCCAGGTCCTTTCTTGCTAAAAGTATTTCTTGATTTTATATTTTACCAGTCGGGACTGGGAAACAATTGCCTCTTCTAACGATGTAAATCCCTGGATTTATAGGTTTTCTCTATTCCATTTCATTCCTGATTGCAAACAGGCCAAATTTTTCTGAGTTCATCTTTGAATAGCTTGTAGTAACTTTCAGAATGCATCCAACAGCCACCAACACACACTACTCACTCTCTGTTTTACAATCCTTTTCTTTAGTTCATCAGGTTCATGATCTGCCTTCTACATTATCACAGGTGATATGTTTACCAAACAGATCACCATCCCTTCAGCTTCTGATAGCAGTGTTCTTAGTTATCGCCCTCTAAATGATTGTTTAGTTTTATTGTTGTTATGCTTATTGTTGTTATTACACTAACCCATATCTAGGAGCCAATTTTTATATGAGTCAGGATGGTTTAGGTTATGCTGCCATAACAAACAATCCTAAAATTTCAGTGGCTTAAAAATAAATTTTATATTTTGCTCATACTACATGTTCAACTTCACGGGGCTCTGCTTAATGTGCTCATTTAGAAACCTAGTCTGAAGAAGGTTTCATCTTGATACATGCTTCAACAATCATCGCATCAGTTTGGCAGGGGAAAGAAAGCATGGTGAACTCACATTGGCTTTAAAAGCTCCCTCCTAGGAATGACACTTTTTATTGTATTTACATATTATTGGCTAAAATTAGTCACATGGCCATGCCTTACTTAAAGGGTGCAGGAAAGTGCAATCCTACTAGGTACCCGGAAGTCAAAGAGCTGGAAATGCACACCTCCATATACTCTAGGTTATGCTGTGTTAGCCATCCAAAAATCTTACTGGGTTACAATCACAGAATTGTTTCTCACTCATATTGCATGTCCACTCATATGGTTTGGTTGTGTCCCCACTCAAATCTCACCTTGAATTGTAATAATCCTCACATGTCAAAGGTGGGGTCAGGTGGAGATAATTGAATCATGGGGTCAGTTTCCCCCATACTGTTCTCATGGTAATGAATTAGTCTCATAAGATATTATGGTTTTATAAATGGGAGTTGCCCTGCACAAGCTTTCTTGCTTGCCACCATGTAAGATGTGCTTTTGCTTCTCCTTTGCCTTCTGCCATGATTTTGAGGCCTCCCAAGCCATGTGGAACTGTGAGTCCATTAAACCTCTTTCCTTTATAAATTTCCCAATCTCAGGTATGTCTTTATTAGCAGTGTGAGAACAGACTAATACATCCACCATAAGTTGGCTGTGTCTCTGATTTACACACATGATCTTTGCTCAAAGACCTTGGTTAATGAAGCACGCTCTTTCTAAAACATTACTGTTATTGGCAGACAGAAAAAAGCATAGCCCTTAAAGCTTATACTGAGAGCAATTTATATGACCGAGCCTGATGTCAGTGAGGAGGGGCAGCAAGTATTTTTGAATAGTATTGCAGTCTACCACACCCTGCACTCCACATTCCCTCCATTCCTTTGAGTCGCTGCCACCCCAGACATTTTCCATCGCTCTGACAGTTTCCTGTCTTTGCATGTACGTTTATCCCTAATCAAAAGGCTACCTGGCAAACTCCTATTCACCCTTCAGGAGCCAGCTCAAATAATCACTACCTCTGAAGCTTTCCCTCACCCCATCTCCTGCTTCACCTCGAATAGTTATTATCCTCTTTGGCTGTCACCATACTGGGTACATACCTGAAGTAGAGAATGTTTTTCACATGATCTTGTAAATGTCTTCTTAAATCCCTGACTCCAAATCCAGCAACTGTGTCTTATTCTTATTTTGTATCTCCAATGCTTAATACAAAGCCTGGCATATGAAAGCATAGAAGGTGCTCAGTAAATGCTTGTTGATGGATTTTTTTTAAATAGCCTTTTCCATAGTGGAATGAAGGGGGTGTTTTAATGATTGAGTAGCAATAGTACCTTGTTTTAATACATAATATGTGGAAAATGTCAAATTCCCCTGCTGAAGCCTCCTTAAAGGCATCCTATTAGCTTAAAAGAGCTAGGACTTCTCATCTCACTTTTCTCCAGCCACACTGCCTTTGGCTGAATCAATCAGGATAGCCTAAGTTATGCTATGATTAAGAATATTTCCAAACCTCAGTGACTTAAGAAATAAAGTTTTTTTCTTGTTCCTATATGTTCATATGCTATAATTAAATCATTTTTTTCCCCCAAACCTCAGTGACTTAAGAAATACAGTTTTTTTTTTCCTTGCTCCTGCAATATGTCCAGCAAGGGTTGGCAAGCACTCTGATCACATCACCTTCCTCTAGGACCCAGGCTGATGGAACACCCACTTTCAGGAACATTTCAGATCTCGTGGTAGAAGGAAAGGCAGCTTTGAAGGGTCTCATCACAGCAATTAAGTGTCTTTTCCTAAGAATGTCACATGTCACTTCTCACACATTCATTGACTAAAACTAGTCTCATGGCCCAGCCCAGCCAAGCCACAAGGGGACCAGGAAGCACAATCCTATGGTGACCAGTCCTAATGACTCCCACACTAGCCTTCATTTGTTCCTCATATAAGACAAACTATTTGTTGTCTAAGAACCTCTTAACCCTTCCTTGTTTTTTGGCCAATTTCTATCTTTCTTTGGATGTTAGCTTAAATGACAAAGAGACTTTCTGTGATTTTTCCTAATGTGCCCTCTCTCCATGTAAATTAGATTTCTCCTTATACTCTCATAAGTCCCTATAACTTTTCTTTGAGAAGGATTATGAATAACACCCCTTTCTCACCTTCTGGAGTTAAGAACCAGCTGAGAGTTAGACACAGGAATCAGATGAGTGGGGATCAAAATATCAATGTGAAAGCTAATACAGACTGGTTTGGAGGGTATGGCAAACAGGAAGCCACAGTGGATTTTCTGATTGTCTTAGTCTCTTTTGTGTTGCTATAAAGGAATTCCTGAGGCTGGGTAATTTATAAAGAAAAAAAAAGGTGTATTTGGCTCATAATTCTGCTGCTTGGAAAGTTCATGATTGGGCATCTGCATCTGGTAAGGGCCTCAGGCTGTTTCTACTCATGAGAGAAGGTGAAGGGGTTCTGGGTGTGTAGAGATTACATGGGCAAAAGGGAAGCAAGAGAGAAAAGGGGGAGGTGCAAAGCTCTTTTTAATATCCAGCTCTCCTGAGAACTAATAGAGCTAGAAGAACTCACTCCCTGCCTCACCCCAGGGAGGGCATTACTCTATTCATGAAGGATCTGCTCCCATGGCCCAAACACCTCCCATTTGGCCCCACCTCCAACAGGTGGGAATCACATTTCAACATGATGTTTGGAGGAGACAAACATTCAACCCATAGCACTGATGTTTCACCCATGCATTAAACTTACCTACTGGTTCCTGGCTATGATGGACAGTTGCAGACCTTCTCCAGAGGTACAGTGAGTGTATACATCCTTTGGATGAATTGACTCTGAAAAGTGAGAGCCGGTTTCTGAGTGGGGCATGCATGGGTCTTTCTTGTGAACTCAGAAATCAGATAACTCAAATTACTTTTCTTCCCATGGGGACTATATATAAAGGATGGAGAGAAAGGATAAGAGGGTTATTTTAGCAGATGTCCCATCATGGAAAACTGAGGCAAGGGAAATGGTGATTTTCTCTTAACAATAGAATGTTTTAAAAAGTATTATTCTATATTTCTTTATGTAATTATGTATTTTTTTAAACTGTCTTATTAAAGTCCATTTCACACACTAGATGCCAAGTGTCAAGAATATAGAAAAACTGTATCTCTTGGTCTCCACTGTATCCATAGCATCTAGCATGCTTAGCACAGAGAATATACCCAATACATCTTTTTTATACATCGGAGCCCTTGTGGAAGTCCTTTTGGATTTTCTTCAAGGTTTTTGTCAAGGAGGAATGTGTAACTGTTGCGTACATTATCACACTTATGGTGATGCCTTTTCTCTACTCAGAACTTCTACAAAACCTATAGGATCATAAAGTGGCAAGAGTCCTTAGTGGTCACCTTCCAAGTCCTGCCTTTTTTCCAATGCAGAAATTCCTTTGCTAGCATCTTCACTACTTAAATACTTCTAGTCACAAAGTAAGGACACAATGCCCAAAGCCAAGAGTAGTAATTCTACTAAATGCTACTGGTTGGACACCATTGGGTCCCATCTTTGGGAATATTGTGGGCCTGAAATTTGGAAAGCAATTTGGCCAACCACAGATATCTGTGGGAAGGACAGCCAAATGGTGAGAGGCCTGAAACCTTGTCTTGTGGAGAAGAATTGAATGAACTGGGATTATTTGCCTGGGAGAAGTGTGGGTTGGAGAAGGCAGGGGGAAGACCAATAGAGCACCCATAGGAGTCTCTGTAGGTTTTGAGGTCAGAGCTAGGCTAATGGTTAGAAGTTAGAGAAGAAAACTTTCCTGTATTTAAGAAGGAACTTTCTGAAGTTAAAATTATTTATCAATAGGATAGTTGCCTTAAAAGTAGAATTGTAGTTTCCCTGCTCAACATGTATTTATTATCTACTATGTGCCAGAAACGATGCCATAAATTATCATTTATGATAATTCCTTGTCAGCTCATTGTACTTATAGTAATCATCATTCTTATTTTCAATGTTCATAAAAGCCATCTTAAAGAATCTCATTTAGAATTCTGGAGTGGTAATTAACATCACTGTTTCTCATTTCTGGAATTGACCTTTTTTTACCTTCAAAATTCCTAAACCTGGAATGATACATTCTCATGTCCACTATTAGATGGATATTTTTCTGTCAAAAAATGGGTGTTTTCAGTATCCATAAATCAAAATTACCTGGTCTTGGGATCACTTGAGAAGATTAGGTACTCCCTTATCAGCTGTGGCGAAGAACTACAAAGTTTTCACCAAACCTCTTTTCTTTTCCTCTTGTATGTACAGATAGACTACATTTCCTGGCCTCCTTTCTAAATACCTGTGGCTGAGTTTTAGTCAATGCAGTGAATGTGCTGTGTATCACTTACAGGCTTGGCTCATAAAACCGTCTCTCCCCATCTCCTCGTCTCTGTGTCTCCAAGGTCGTAGAGAAGGGCAGGTCCACAGATAGAAGTAGTCCAGATCTCTGAATAACCATGTGAAAGGTTTCTTATCGACCAGAAATATTCTCAATAGGATTTTGATGGAATGAGGAATCAACTTTATTGCGCTGAGCCACTGAAATGTTGGAGCATATGTGTTAAAGCTGCTGTTTTATTTCAGTTAGTGCTGCAGGATACCCTCAATGAAGAAACAAATGTGGAACTGAACTTAGGGATTTTGTTCTGCTCTTTCTAGTTTGAAGAAAAGTAGTGGAGGAGGCAGAAGAAAAGAATATAGCATTTAATTGTGCTGAGGTTCCTTTTACAATGCTTTCTTCCCATCTAATTTATAAACTTCATGAAGCATGTTACCATGTCTTACATACTCTTCCATATTTAATCTTTCAGTGGGTATTTATTGAGAACTGTAAGGTGCTTTGGGGATTTCAGAAGAAAAATAGATAGCATATATTGTTAACTATTTTACTCATTTATTCAAAAAATTTTGAGCATTTACTATGGGACAGCCTTTGGTAATCCCTGGTGAACAAAAGCTATAGTACCTGCCCACAAGTTGGGGTCTAGCAAGGAAAGTAGAATAAAGAGGCAAGACTAGTCCAGTATGGCAATGCTATGAAAAACAAGGAACAGGATGCTCTAGGTTCCCTGGGGAAATCTGACAAGGGTCAGGGTCAGATAATTGTCCTCTAGGAACTGAGCCCTCCAAGATGAGTAGGAGTAGCCAGAAAAAGAGGAGATAGTGGAGAGAGAAAGAATATTCTGGGAAGAGGGAGTGCATATACAAAGGCCTGGATATTATTGAATATGGGGCATGTTTGGAGGGACAAAAAGGTAAACTGGGAAGAAGAATGGAGAGAATGAGCCTGAGAGGAAGGTCTTGTAATATATGTATGCATGTACTTAATAAATGCATTCAGAAGGCTTTGTGTGATGTACAAGTATAATATGTAATATGGGTATGCATTTACCTAGAAGGAAATATGGCTGATTAACCATTAGGATGTCAATGGTTGTGATTTTTGGGTAATTTCCACTTTCTTTCTTATGTTCTCTGTTTGTTTTAAAATTCTCTACAACGAACATGTATTCCACATGTAATTTAAAAAAATCAGAATACATGTTTCTTTTTCTTATTAGTCGTGACTGCACCTGCTGTCCCTCATTGGATCCTCACAGCAGTCTTCTTTGCAAACTGAGGTTCAGAGCTGATACATGGCGAAGCTGGAATTAGACTTCCTAATGTCCCATTTATTCTAATTTCCTCTCCATTTTGCCTGCCTTCCCTGCAGTTTTCTAAGTAGCAATGATGGTTTTTCTTGGAACTACTGCCTTTTAGCACAGTGTTGCCTGTTTGTGTGTATGTAGTTTGCAACATGAAGAAACTGGGTCAAAGTTCTTATAATACTGACCTACCTAGGAGGCTTCCCACACACAAAGGATGGTCCTCAACCTACTGGGTTAGGTAGACTTATCTTTTCTGTGATATTATCATATCCTTCGCCAGTTATTTGGAACTTGAGGAGGAGGCTATTGATAGTTTTTAAAAATACAGTTAGGGAGGTGATTATTCCTGATTATTTTATCAACTCACATCTTTATTGACTAGCATGTTGGTGCTTGACCAAACCAGTGATGATGAATATTTGTAATGAATGACAAAACACTTGAAAGTCTGGAAACATTGTGTTAGCATTCTCTAAATCATGTTGTGGCAACAAACAACCCCCAGCATCTCAGAGGCTTAAAACAACATGAGTTTATTTCATATGCATGTTACATTTCCTTCCTGATTTACACCTTAGGTCTTTACTTCGAGACCCAGGCTGAAGGAGCAGCCTCTGTTTGAGATATTGCTGGTGTATGTTACAGACGAGGGTGAGAGCTGTCACCATGGGGTGGCTCTTAAGGCTTTACCTATGGGCATTTCCACTCACCTTTCATTGGCCAAATTGTGTCACAGTGTCACAAAACCAAGCCTGAGACAGGGGAAGAAGAGAAGACTTGATAGGGAGGGGTAGCAACAATTTTGCAAACACTTTCAGTTCTCTGAGTCTCAGTTTCTTTACCTGTAAAGTGGAAATAAGACAATTATGGAATAGTCAAACCATGGAATATCCTGTAGCCATTTTAAAAGGAGCTAATTAACCTTATAAAGATGAGTTGACCTAGAGGAATGCCCATGATGTAGCAATAAGTGAAGAAAGGAAAGTTTCAGAGTAATGTGCATAGCATGGTCTCATTTCTGCACAAATTGAAACACCTATATCTGAGTATGTCTGTTTATGTGAGAATACCAATAAAAATAGCTAATGTTTAATGAGTGCTTTCTTCATATGCCCAGCACTATGCTAAGTGTTTTTTTTTAAACATGCATTTGCTCCTTTAATCCTTGAAAAAAAAAACAGCAGAAAGTTATATACCAAATGGTTATCATTAGTAGCCTTAGTCAGGGGTGGGATTAGAGAGAAGATTTTATTCTCTTTAAAAATTAGATTTCTGTAAATTTTTACTTGTCACAATAGGTAGGTTAATTAGCTCTTCTTGTGAAACAAACCATCGCAAAATCTGAGTGCTACGCAATGTTAATCAGTTGATTTCCTGCTCTTTGGTCTGCAGGTCAGTTGAGGTGGCTTCACCTTCCTAAGACCTAATTTGGTGTTCTGTCCTCCCCATTACAGCTGCCACCCTTACAGTTTTCTAAGTAGTGATGATGGCTTTTCCTGCAACTGCTGACTTTAATGCATTGTTGCATGTGTGCGTAGTTTACAACCTGGAGAAATGGGGGGCTGAGGGTCACATTCAAATGTGCTCCATGTGTCTCATTCTAGAACTCATCCTAGAGAGGTCGAATCTACCAGGGGCATATTCTTCTCAGGGGAGACACTGGGGTAAATGGAAGCATGTGAAACTTTTTAAGGCCAGGCTTGGAACTGTTATGATATCATTTCTGTCCACGTTCTATTGACTGAAGCAAGTATCACAGCTAAGTTCAGTATCAGTAGAGCTGGGAAGTCATAGAGGTTGCAGAAGGAGGGAGTGAATATTGTAATATATCATAATAAGCATAAATTAATTTCTTAGTTAAGAAACAGAAACAAAAATGAAACAAAGAAAAAACTAGTAAAGTGAAGAAAAGAGAACACTTAT